>NC_000004.12:79678956-79830471 GCF_000001405.40 Homo sapiens
CAGGACTGGATACAATTTTACAGGTCATTTAATCAGTGCTTGTGCCCCCTGTCTAGCTCACTGCAAGTCCTCTTCCAGCATGTGACTGTATACCTCTGATGAAAGAAAACCTAACACTTTCCACAGATACATTTCTATTTTTAAAGACCTCTATTTTTTAGAAGATTCTTCATTATATTTATTTTAAGCCTACCAAAATACAATTTGTATTTACTGTTTCTGAGTTTGCACTTTGAGGTCATTCATAGGAAACTGACTCCTTTTTATGCAAGTACACCCTTAAATTCTTGAAAGAAATCGTCATGTTCATTAGGTGGTTGTTCCTGTAATAAAGTCTCAAGTCTTTTCTCTTTTGGATGGGATAACTCAGCTCAATACTCAAAGCGTGATTAGATCATTAAGCAGTAAAATGTGCCTGTTACTTTGCTGACTCAATGATTGGACTTTGTCAACTAGAGTTAAGTACTTCCTATGATCTCAGCCCAGCTACAGAAAGAGAAATGGAAGACATTGCTGGCCATTTGTAGGAAGCAACGTAGTTAATGCAGACACATAGTAATAATTTATGCTTTGAATTTCTTCAAGTTTTGAAGGAAAAAAATTACATAAATAAAAATCAAATTTGGTCAGAAATGGCTCATGTGTGTAGCCCCAGCACTTTGGGAGGTCAAGGCAGGAGGACTGCTTGAGGGTAGGAGTTTGAGACCAGCCTGGGCAGCATAGCAAGACCTCATCTCTAAAAAAAAAACTTTAAAATAAAATGATCTGGGTGTAGTGGCACAGATCAACAGTGCTGATTTGTTGTCCTAGCTACTTAGGAGGTTGAGGCAGGAGATTGCTTGATCCCAAGAGGTTGAGGCCAGTGAGCTACAGTTGTGCCACTGTACTCCAGGCAGGGTAACAGAGAGAGACCCTGTCTCTAAAAACAACAACGACAACAAACAAGAAGTCAAATTTGCCATCTTCCCCCATTAGTCAATGACCTTTCCACACACTTCCAGACTCAAAATTTTATAAGTATCCTCTCATCTTCTTCATCTTTGCTATCAAATGAGTTGTCTAGTTTCACTTCATTTCTGCTACTGCCATTCTTGTCCCTGGGGCCTTATTACTAAACTAAAGGCTTAAACTCTTACAGTTTGTTTGATGTGACTTTAGTGACATCTAGCTCAACCATGCACTTATCTTGATTCCTAAGTCTTTAAAATTCTCAAATGCAGTTAAATTGAGTGAGAGCAGGAGGGAAAGGAAAATTATAACAAAGTGACAAACTCATGCCAAGTCAGAAGAGGACTCTATTTTCAAAGGTTCTCGCACAGAAGAATACAAGTTCAGCATTGCCAGGGGCCAGGTTTTTGAGAGAATTACAAATTCCTATTTTTAAATAAACTCCTTTGAGTTTTCTAAAGGTTAGTGTTCTTTAAGGGAGTCCTTTTTGCCAAATGTATCTTCTGGCTAGCTCTAGCCTATGGACCATCAGCTTGGGACCATTGTTCAATACTCAAATGTTCTCGGTCATCTCAATAATTCTTATAATGACCTGAAAAGTATTAAAGAGAGTATTACTGAGACACTAAAAAAGTTATAATACAATATGGAACAACTTTACAAATACTTATAATACAACATTTAACAAAAATATGAAAATTATGTATCGTTTGTTAATAATTATATCCTTAGGATACTGCTTTTGAATAAATAAAGACAATAAAAAATGAACAATTTTATAAGTTTGGATGGAAAGAATGTGGGTGACTAAAATATTTTCTTCCTTCTCCTAGTCATTGTTTTCCTAATTCTCTTCTATGAGACTATATGACTTCCCAAAAGTACAAAATCCATAAATATACCTGAATTATTATATGTAAGTGAAAGGAAAATCAGAACAGAAGACATAGGAATTTACTGGTGTATTAACCTTCCCTTGCAGCATGTCTGTACTCTTTAGTCTTATGTTCTTTTTTTTAAATGCAAACATGTGCTCAAACTGTTTTTTTCAGAAGCAATTTTGGTGGAAAGACTGGAAATGTTGTAACATCAAGTTGAAGGGGATAAAAATGGAAAACGAAAATACTATGTTTACTAGTAAGAGTGTGAAAGAGGGAAAAACATATACCAGATATAAGGTTGATCAAATTAATTTTGCTATGTTGGCTCTTTCTAGTGAGATTTGATTTACTCAAAACTAACATTTTTTGAGCACTTCTTCAAGGTACTATTGCTATCTTCATATATTTTCTCCTTATTAATGATAAAGAAAGTTAGATCTGGTGAGGTTAGCCCAACATCACAGAGCTCCTAAGTACCAGAGCCAGGGTCCATCCCGGGTCACACTTCCTCCGCAGTAGACATGACTGCCTATTGCTTACAAGCCAAATAATCTCAAGTCAACATTGAAAAAACTCTGATTTATGTATGCTAATTCCCAACAAAGCAAAATTAGGACTTGGTGCTTTTCTAATATGTCTCTCTCTCTCATCAGATTTGCGGCCTATCAAATGGACCTGCCATCATGGTCCGTGGTGCTTTCACTGGACATAATTATGCTTCTGCTGAGGTTTCTTTCTTTTCTTATTTTTCCCCTTCTCTTTGCACCCAGCCATACAATGACTATGACTGGCCATTTTGAGTGTCAGAGGTCACATACCCTTCCCTTCTGTACCAAAGTCATTATTAGAAAACTCAAGACTCTTGGATTTGAAATTTCTTCCTTGAAGATAATATAAAGAGCAAATAAGCCACAGCCCTGTTGCCGTAAATTCAATGTAGCATGACAGTGTGAAGGCTAGCTAACTCCACATATTAAAAATATTCTTTTACTTTTTATTCTTGATTAGTTGACACCTAGAGCCCAGGAGAGACTGCCCTTCTCAGGGTTACTTAATAGGGATAGAAATGACACATCTATAAGGGTGTCTTTTCTATGCAAACTAACCCATCCAGAGCCCATATCCCAACTATCTCCTCCATCAGATTTTCATACTCTAGGCCACTATTCTCCATCCTAGTCACCCCAGGGCCAGGTACCAGACAACTACAGATAGCCCCTATACCTTAGAGCCTGCTGGAATTATTCATACTAGGAAACCCTAAACCTTTTTACTCTGTCTCATTTATCCCTTCCCATGGAACAATGCTCTTGTCCATGTTTTCCCCTACACCTTCTGTTTCCTGACTGACTGTGGTGATGCCCTGTGGGCCCCCCAACAGCATGGCAAGATACGTGCCCTCCTCTTGGTATCAGTGAGTATCACAAGCTGTCTTTTCAATGGCAGTCATCTCCTAATGTGTTGGTCCCACCATACCTGAACAAAAACGAAATCTACATTTTAAAACACTCCAGAAAAGCCCAGTCTCATGGCATGATTCACACTCCCTGGAATGCTATGTGTGTTATTATGATTCTGTATGTGGTGAGCATTAAAAGAGCACAGCAGAGTCAGCTGTGATTCCAACTGGGGCTTTTACAGCCTGGTTTGGACAATAGCTCTTAAATGGCTCCACTTATATTAAGAGAGGATTCTTCAGTGTATTGATAATGTACACAAAATCTTTGTTTGTCATACAGATGATTAAAAATATCAGTGCGTCGTGTCAGTGTTTAAAACACGGGATGGGGGAACAGCCTGATGTTTCATCACAGGTCTGCCCCCAGAAACTATGTGAGCTCATGTAGGCACTGACCTATCACATACTAAATGGGTACGTCTAAGCTCTTTGCAAGAAGTTAAAAGTAAAACCAATAGAACGAAGAGTTGCAAGACTAAAACATAAATGTTTAAATGCAACTCTCTCTGAGAAAAGTTTTGAATGCCTAAAATGAATTCAGGCTGAATAGAAAATGCTCACAGCTACCACATAAAGCATTGTTTATTTTCTCTTGTAAAGACTCATTCCCTCAATATCTTTTCTTTGCCAATTTGTGACGTTCTCTGGGGCAATTTCCAATCACCGCTGCTGCCAGCCAGCTGATCACCATAGTAGTCAACACAATGACCCAGGAGAGCACCAAGACACCCCGCTGTCAACCGGTTTGCAGGATGTAGCCTCAGCAAAGTGAAGAGCTCCAAACACCCCTGTGCTCACTGGCTCAAACTTGGCAGTTTGGGGAGGCTGCCAGGACAACACCAGGAGGGGAGCCAGGGGAGCAGTGTGCCAGAGTCAGCAGGTGGCAATGGCCAACAGCAGCTCAGAGAGGCAGATCAGTCTTTCCAGCAGTGAAGACAGCCAACCGAGGTGGGAGCCAATGCAGCCCTTGTTATCCAATGTATAGGCATTGTTATAAATGACATCAGAACCCCCTGTACATTTCTCATTGGGCTTGTTAGCCAGGTGGCAGTCTTACCAGTCATCATTGCTCCAAGCAGAGCGTATGTTATAATGTTTAACTTACACTTGAGGCCAGAGAATTACATTTCTTGGAATAATGTCTTGGAGACACAGTAACAATGAGTTCTAGTATTTATACAATCCTGTTCTATAAAGCAGTTAATGTACCTGACAGACAGCACTTAAGTGAGATTTAGACCACTGCTCACAAATTGGTAAGGAAATGCTATCCAGCCACTTAAAATATTTGAAACCTAATATGTAGATATAATATTTTAGAATTCAGATCATGTAAAAATTGAGATAAAATAAAAATCCAGGAGTTCTGAGTGTCATTTTTATACACAATCCAACATATCAGTTGATGTAGTATATAAAAGTCTGAGTGATGCGAGTACATTTGTGTTCATGTTCTATTCCCCTGAAATGGCAAGACTGAAATACAGTAGAATACTGGCCTCTTTTCTTAATTTCAATCCAGAATAGGATTACATATGCATTAGGGAAGTGAAAATTATTCATTATAAAACTAAATCTTTTCAAGAGCAGAGATAATATACAAAACAGATGTTATAAAAGATACTTTTCAAGTTGGAATGTTCCAACAAGTTGTAATATGTTTCTGAAATGAGCAGAGCCTATCAATCAAGAAATATTCTTGCTTGCTTATAACAAATTAAGCACTCTTCTAGAATTTGTATACTTGAGGAATACATTTAAAAAATTAAAACGGACTATCTGTGTTTTTGAGGATATTACAATCTTGTTGACAGATCAAAACTAGCAAGAGGATTACCAGCCAACATTAAAGGAGACCCAGTTCCAGAATTTTCTTGCTATCAGCCCAGGAGGAGAGAAAAGATTATGGAGGCCAGGAGTAGTACAGGAAGACTGCACGGAGGAGGTGGGATAAATTGCCAGGACTTAGCATGGGTAAGATTGGACTCCACAGCCTTCATTATATGCAGCCCTAGACTAGGAGTCAGAGTTTCATCTGCCACTATATAATGGTGATTACTATGATAAGTTCAATCATTGAGAATCAATCACAAGCCAGGAACTATATCAGAATACTGTGAACAAGACAGGTTGTGATCGTTTTTGGAAGTAAAGACTCCAGTAAATATCCTATAAATGCTGCTAGGTTCACTCAAATTAAATCTGGCTTGTTCTCTGTGCCTGAGGACGACCATGTATGTCCAACAAAACAAACTTACCCAAAGGAAGAAGCAGACCAGATTGTCTTAGTTAAAACTTCCTTCAATTTCCTATCTTTACAGACAATGCTTCTATGGCTTTTTAGAAAAGCAGAATCAACTAAAAATGTGGTGGGAAGTTTTTCTTACTCCCCTCAATCCCCAGGGAATGAATACTTGAAGTAGTTTAACTAGAATCTTAAGACTCAGGAAATAAAGATTGAAAATCGCTGGATAGGCGAATTTTGTCAAAACCCTTTTGATTCTATGATCTTGAAAATAAAGCTAAGAATATCAGGTGGTAATTTCAAGTTCAAGCATAGGCTACATTGTTTCTAAAACATTGTACAAAACAACTGATATGCAAAATTCTGGAACTGGGTATAGAACCACTCCTCTTCCTGCCACCATACTCAGGTCTTCTCGTCTTCCCAGCACTACATTTGCCCCCACTCCACCCCTCCACCCCCAACACACATTGGTTCATCTTTACTCAGGTCTGTGTATGTGTTTTATAATTATGTTACCATATCCCTCCTTTCTTCCTTTTCTTTTGCTATTAACAACTTTAATTTGCTAATACAGGATTGTTCATACTTGTGTTCCAAAGTTTCGAGAAAAGTAGACTCCAGCCATTCTGCCTCACAAGAAGCAATGGACACTTCAATATATCAGAGTTATTTCACACACCTCCTTGCCATTTCTAAGTGACATCTAGCACAACTTGTTTAAAACTGCCACTTCCTGGCTTCAGATTTGTTTCATGTTAGATTTGGGGAAAAAACACATAGGACATTTTGAGCAGACTTCCTCTCTAATACCGTTCTCAGCTCATCTCGTTTCATTCAGTTCTGAGACATCTGGGCAAACTCTAATGAATTACTCGCAGCACTCTCCTGACATTTGCCGGGCCCATGGTAATATTTCACATTGTTCTTCATATTTGAAAATACTGCTGATGCTGTCAGGATGGTAAACAGGATGAGTCCAAACTGAGACAGTCACACATACTCACCTCTCTCTCTTTTGGGATGACACCAGTTTCTGAGAGAGCTGCTGGGAGTTTGGAGGGTGATCTTGAATGTAGAACAGAACCATATGAACAACTACTGTTTAAGGGGTCTTGTGGGTACCTACTAGCTGAACAGGACTGAAGTCACAGTTCCTTTTGTATCACCAACTCACCTCAAGAGATAGTTCAAAAAGGTGAATTGACATTCTAATACAGAGGCTTCAAGCACAGCCAACTAAAATGGCTTCTTTCGGTTCCTCAAGCGGCCCAAGCTTGTTTCAGCCATAGAACACTTACCCCAACTGTTTCCTCCACCTGGGACTCTAATGCTTCCCTTCTTCCCAGCAATGGCACTTTCTTATTCTTTAGCTCTCAGCTCTCAAGTAAATCTTCCTCAGAGAAGCCTTCCCTGATCAGTCTGTCTAATGCAGCATGCTACTCCCACCCCAGTATTCTCTAATACATTTTCCTGTTTTATAATTAATATCTTTATAACACTTATGAAAATCTGAAATGATCTGATAAATTTATTTGTTATTTATTGTTTTATTGTATTTTATTAATTGCTCTGTATTAAATATAGGATTCTGGTGATCATTGACTTAATTAATGTACCATTTGAATAGTGTTTGACGAATCTTATGTGCCCCCCAAACTGTAGAATAAGTAAATAATATACATTTTGCTTTCCAATACATCTTCCAGTTATGGTTTCACTTATTTTTCTCCTCACTCAGTCCTTCCCTTACTTTCTTTTCCATCCTGAAGTTGGAGAAGAGAACTTAGATGGTATAATATGCTAAAGTACAATTGTAGTTAGGAAACATTCTCTGGGAATCCATAAAAATATATTTTCATATAACACCTCTCCCATTTCTGCCCAGTTTGAAAGAATTACCGATTTGCTGGAGATTAGTGTGTCAGCCTGTTACAGATTAATTGCCCAGGTGGCCCTTGTCTGCATGGGAAGTAAGAAAGCAGCAGTACAAATCAGCCCAAGAGAGAACAAACTAGAATCATCACCTGCTCTTTTTCTCTTTGAATTTGCAAATACCAGCCATATATAGTCTCACCATTACAGGAAAGCAAGAGACCTGTTAATTTTTATTATGAACAAATTATAGCTGTTACCTATAATGTCTGATATTTTTACTTTGTAATCCTAAATTCCAAATTGCTTCAATGAACAGAAGAAAATCTTAGAAGCCCATATGGATGTCAAATTAGCAAGTGAAGACTTGGAAACACCACGTCTGAGCCCACTGAATCAGATAAGTAGAGATGCAACTTTGAAGTACTGGGATCTCAACTTATCTCATGTGTAGAAACACAAGAGTTCTATGTATATCATGAATTAACACACACAATCACAAGCTGAGAAAGGAAGAAATAGCATTGGAGCATTGGTACACTATCAAAATCAAAACAAAATAAAAAGGAATAAAGTAAAATGAGCACATATTGAAGTACATAGTATATCTACAAAATATCTTGACAAAGCATAATCTGACCTTAATACATCTTTTTTAATGGGTAGATGATTTTGCATTAGAATCTTACATAAGATGGAGGAATTGCTTCAACAGGGCAGCACTTCTCTGAAGAGCCATTGTGTTTGGCCCATCTGCTAAAGAACTGTGGGGAATAACGTCTGCCCTACTGGCCTCAGCAATCCACTGCATTAATAGAACATAAGCGCTTATGCAATGGCACTGGATCTGTGGCAGCTGTTTGTTCAATGTTTCATGCTTTTAGTCACATCTGCTCCAAATGAGTGTTAATATTACAGTGGCATCCACTAAGGATGGGCTCTGTCAGCTTTGCTGAGGATCAGTCTGACCCCTGAAACAATGGAAAAGCACTTTGTCCCAAAGTACCATCTTTTAAAATATCTGTATCCTCTTAACCTGCAGGTTACACCATCATACCCTCTCTGCCTTCAGCTTTCTGCTCTTTAATCCACACCCCCCACCCCAACAAATGAAAACCCAAGTCAGTGAATCTCAAGGAGAAAAACTGCATTTATTTCTAGCACCCTGTCCAGCAATGTCAGATAACAGTTTATTCATCCCCCGGCCCCTGGATGACATTGAAGCATATCAACAGTGACAAAAGTATATTGAATAATTATCTTGAAATTAATACATTATCCCAAACTTAAATAAATGTCATCTGATCAATATATCTTGGAATGGAAAGGGAAGAGAATGTGAAGGGCATCACTTCATTATTCATTAATTTTAGAGTAATGTAGGCAGATGAAATGGTTATTTCAGAGCACTGCTATTATACTCACTGGCATTTTAAATAACTCCCAATATTTAACAGTATATAGTCTCTTGTTGGAACAGCTTATAGATGTTAACACTTTGGCTTCCAGATTCTACTGTTCTGGGAAGTCAACTGACAATATTCAAAGGCCATTACTTTTGTTTCTCTCTTTAAAAAATGCCTTTCCATTTTCGTTGGTAACTGGTAGCTATAGCATATACTTGTCTTAAATCCTCATGAAATAGCCTATTAATGTTGCAGTCTTGAGGATTCTAATTGTTCCATTAATCATATTCCCAAGGATAAAATAAATAACTCAATTATATTTCATTTCTCTAGTGTGTAAATGAGACATACAGGATCATACCTCCCAGAACTTATATAAACCAGTATGGGAAATATTTTAAAGGGAATAGAGTGTATAGTAACAGGAAATTAGTAGTTAACTTCAGTAGCTAAATTACGACCAAAGGTAATGATTAATGCAAATATACTCTACTTTATTTTGTATTATCCCATTTAATTGGAAATCAGTATATTTCCATATATGGCGATTGTAATATAAGTATAGCATTTATAACTTATAGTCATATTTGAACAGTTTGCCCACTTCCAAAAAGAAAACACTGATAAAATTGTCAAAAACATTTTCTTAAGTATGTCAAGGCAAAGATAATGCTTGTTTAAAATTAAAATATTGAGCTTTATTGTTAGTTAACCCTAAAATGATTTCATGATAGAATCCTTCATTTGCGATTAATGAGAAAGAAAATCGTAGCCACAGAATCCACTGTAATAAAATTAGCTGGTAGAGATGAAGATGGACGTTCTATCAAACCAGTGAGTGATTGATAGTTGGTAAAATTCATAGAAAGTAAACAAACAAACCATTCAAAAGCATTCAAGATCAGATTCTAAAGAAAATAAGTTAGCTAGACACTTCTACTTAGCAATGCTCCAGCTCTCAAGTATATGTGCAGTTTAAATGGGAAATGACTTTGCTAATTAGGCATCTTTGTATTTTCTGCCCATGAAGTCTTTGACTTATGTCAGTTCTCAGGCAGATGTAGCAAGGGAGGTACTCAGTTTCCAGCCATCACCACAGATCCATGACACACCTTCTTGTTTTACAGGCTGGGACATTTCCCATGGAGAGTGGCCACCTGTGCTGGGACTCAGGGCAGTTTTATGACCTCAATACAGAGAAAGTAACACAATTTTTACAACCTTAGTTGTTCTATGACCTGATGAAAGTGAATTCAGTGCACCAGGCTGACATTCTCTTACAGTAGCTAATAACATGATTATAATATACTCTGAAATGCAAAAGAACATTTTATCCGATAGCACAAAAATAGTTGATAATATGTGAGTATTCCTGACACCTTAAAATTTAATTTTTTAGTGATTTAGAATATATTTAGTATTTTTTCTTATTAATCTAGAAACCATTATGTTATGAAAATCTACACTCCTTTGCTTTCCATTTGAAATGATATTTCTTTTTCTTCCTGCCTATTCATATAAAATCAAACCACTTTTAAACTCAGATTATAGCATTTCTCTATCAGGCTTTTCCTCCTAACTTCATGTGAGTTGCTCTTCCTCCTTTAAACTTCTAATGTGATATTTCTCAAAGTATTTTCTATGGATGGTCTGCATCAGAATCACCAACATTAAAATCAATTAAATTTAATTGAATTTAAATTAACTTAAAAAACAACAACAAAAATTACTCAGACCACCCTCTAGAACTTCTGAGTCAAAATTTAATGCCCATTACCCATGTGCTTTATTTTGAGCCTATGCTTTAATTATATAATATTTGGAGAAATTTCTTACATTGTGGTTATTTCTAGCCCTGTTAAGAGTCTGCTCTATTATAGGAACTTATTTTTTGTGTTATATTTTCTACTAGGCTATAAACTCATGAGAGTAAGGACACTGTCTTTTCTTTTTCTTTTCCTTTTCTTTTTTAATATTTTACTTTGTTTTGTCTGGCAGACCATTTTTTTAAAATTTCAACAGATTTTGGGGAATAGGTGGTGTTTGTTTGCATGGAAAAGATCTTTCGTGGTGATATCTGAGATTTTGGTGCACCCGTCACCCAAGCAGTGTACACTATACCCAAGGATTAGTCTTTAATCACTCAGCTGCCTCCCACTCTTCCTGCCAAGTTGCCAAAGTCCATTATATCATTTTTATGCCTATGTGTCCTTACAGCTTAACTCCCACTTATAAGTGAAAATACGTAATGGTCTCCAACTCCATCCAGGTGTCTGTGAATGCCATTATTTCATTCCTTTATATAGGTGAGTAGTATTCTACCACATTTTCTTTATTCACATGTTGGTTGATGGGCATTTAGACTGGTTCCATGTTTTTGCAATTGCAAATTGCGCTGCTATAAATGTGTGTGCAAATGTCTTTTTCATATAATGACTTTGTTAGTGGAATTGATGAATCAAATGGTAGTTCTTCTTTTAGTTACTTATGGAATCTCCATACTGCTTTTCTATAGTGGTTGTATTAGTCTACATTCCTACCAGCAGTGTAAAAGTGTTCCTTTTTTACCACATCCACACCATCTGTTATTTTTTGAATTTTTAGCTGTGGTCATTCTTGCAAGAGTAAGGTAGTATCTCATTGTGGTTTTGACTTGCATATCCCTGATAATTGGTGATGTTGAGCATTTTTTCATATGTTTGTTGGCCATTTGTATGTCTCCTTTTGAGAATTGTCTATTCATGTCCTTTCCTACATTCTTGTGGGATTGTTTATTTTGTTTGTTCTTGCTGATTTGTTTGAGTTCCTTGTGCATTCTGTGTATTAGTCCTTTGTCGGTTGCATAGTTGGTGAATATTTTCTTCCACTCTGTGGCTTGTCTGTTGACTCTGCTAATTATTTCTTTCGCTCTGCAGAAACTTTTCAGTTTAATTAAGTTCCATCAATTTATCTTTGTTTTTGTTGCATTTGCTTTTGGGTTCTTAGTTATGAACACTTTGCCTAAGCCAATGGCTGGAAGAGTTTTTTTGATGTTATGGTTTCAGATGTTAGATTTAAGTCTTTGATCCACCTTAAGTTGATTTTTGTATAAGGTGAGAGATGAGGATCTGGTTTCTTTCTTCTACATGTGGCTTGCCAATTATCCGAGCACCATTTGTTGAATAGGATGTCTATTCCCCACCTTTAGGTTTTTGTTTGCTTTGTCAAAGGTTAGTTGGCTGTAAATATTTGGCTTTATTTCTGGGTTCTATATTCTGTTCCATTGGTCTACATATCTATTTTTATACCAGTACCAGGCTGTTTTGGTAACTACAGCCTTGTAGTACAGTTTAATGTTGGGTAATGTGATGCCTCCCAATTTTTTCTTTTTGCTCATTCGTATACCAGTACCATGCTGTTTTCATAACTATACACTTGTAGTATAGTCTGAATTTGGGTAATGTGATGCCTTTATATATGTGTGTGCGTATATGTGTGTGTATATATATATATATACACACACATATACGCACACACACATTATTATATATACGCACACACACATTATTTTTTTGCTTTGTCTTGCTTAGGCTTACTATATATATGCTTATTATATATAGGCTTATTATATATAGGCTTATTATATATATAGGCTTATTATATATATGCACACACACATTATTTTTTTGGTTTGTCTTGCTTAGGCTATGCGGGCTCCTTCTGGTTTCATATAAATTTTAAGATTGCTTTTCCAAGGTCTGTGAAGAATTATGGTGGTATTTTGATAGAAATTGCATTGAATTTGTAGATTGCTTTTGGCAGTATGGTCGTTTTAATATATTGATTATGCCCATCCATGAACATGTATTTCCATTTGTTTGTGTCATTTATGATTTCTTTCAGCAGTGTTTTGTAGTTTTCCTTGTAGAGATCTTTCACCTCCTTGGTTAGGTATATTCTGAAGTATTTTATTTTAGTTTTTTTGGAACTGTTGTAAAAGGGATTGGATTCTTGATATGATTCTCAGCTTGGTGGTTGTTGGTGTATAGCAGTGCTACTGATTTGTGTACATTGATTTTGTATCCTGAAACTGTACTGAATTTATTTATCAGATCTAGGAGCTTTTTGGATGAGTCTCTAGGGTTTTCTTAGTATAAGATTATACAATTGGTGAACAGCAAAAATTTGACTCCCTCTTTACTGATTTGAATGCCCCTTATTTCTTTCTCTTGTGTGATTGCTCTTGCTAGGACTTCCAAAAAACGTTGAATAGCAGTGAAAGTGTTCATCCTCACCTTGTTGTGGGTCTTGGGGGAATACTTTCAACTTTTCCCCATTCTGTAGAATGTTGGCTGCAGGTTTGTGATAGATGGCTTTTATTACCTTAAGGTATGTTCCTTCTAAGCTGATTTTTGCTAAGGGTTTTAATCATAAAGTGATGCTGGATTTTGTTAAATGCTTTTTCTGCATCTATTGAGATGATCATATAATTTTTGTTTTTAAATCTGTTCATGTGATGTATCACATTTATTGACTTGTGTATGCTAAATTATCCCTGCATCCTTCATATGAAACCCACTTGATCATGGTGTATTATCTTTTTGATATGCTGTTGGGTTTGGCTGGCTGATATTTTGTTGAGGATATTTCATCTATGTTCATCAGGAATATTGTTCTGTAGTGTACTTTTTTTGTTACGTCCTTTCCTGGTTTTGGTATTAGGGTGATACTGGCTTCATAAAATGATTTAGGGAGGATTCCCTTTTCCTTTTCTTTTTGGAATAGTTTCAGTAAGATTAGTAACAACTCTTTTTTTGAAGACCTCTTTTTTGGATCTTTCTTGATTATTCCCTCAGCTGGAAATCTGTCTGGTCCTGGACCTTTTTTTGTTGGCAATTTTTAAATTAACATTTCAATATTGTTACATGTTATTGGTCTGTTCAGAGATTCTATATTTTCCTGGTTTAACCTAGCATGATTGTATATTTCCAGTAATTTATCCTTCTCCTTTAAGTTCTCTAATTTGTGCACATAAAGGTCTCAATAGTAACGTTGAATGATCTTTTTTATTTCTGTGATATTGATTGTTATAGCTCCTATTTCATTTCTAATTGAGCTTATTTGGATCTTCTCTCTTCTTGGTTAATCTTTCTAATGGTTTTTCAGTTTTGTTTATTTTTTCAAAGAACCAGCTATTTGTTTCATTTATCCTTTGTATTTTTATTTGTTTATTTCAATTTCATTTAGTTTTGCTCTGATCTTTATTGTTTCTTTTCTTCTACTGGGTTTGAGTTTGGTTTATTTCTGTTTCTCTACTTTCTTGAGATGTGACCTTAGATTGTCTGTGTGTGCTCTTTCAGACTTTTTGATGTAGGCATTTAATGCTATTAACTTTCCTCTTAGCAGTGCTTTTGCCGTATCCTTGAGGTTTTGATAAGTTGTGTCATTATTATTATTCAGTTCAAAGAATTTTTAGTTTACATCTTGATTTCATTGTTTACCCAAAGATTATTCAGGAGCAGATTATTTAATTTCCATGTATTAGTATAGTTTTGAGTGTTCCTTTGGAGTTAATTTCCAATTTTATTCCACTGTTGTTTGAGAGAATACTTAATATAAGTTTGATTTTCTTAAATTTATTGAGATGAGTTTTGTGGCCCATCATATATGATCGATTTTGGGGAATGTTCCATATGTTAATGAACAGAATCAACTATATTCTGCAGCTGTTGGGCAGAATGTTCTATAAATATCTGTTAAGTCCATTTGTTGTAGGGTATAGTTTAAGTCCATTGTTTCTTTGTTGATTTTTTTGTCTTGATGAGCTATCTAGTGCTGTTAGTGGAGTATTAAAGTTCCCTACTATTATTGTGTTGCCATTTATCTCATTTCTTATGTCAAATAATACCTGTTTTATAAATTTATCCAGTGTTAGATGCATGTATATTTAGGACTGTGATATTTTCCTGTTGGAATGATCCTTTAATCTTTATATAATATCTCTTTGTCTTTTTTAAACTGTTGTTCTTTCAAGTCTGTTTTGTCTGATATTAGAATAGCCATTCCTGCTCAATTTTGATTTCCATTTGCATGGAATATCTTTTTCCAACCCTTTACCTTAAGTTTATGTGAGTCTTTATGTGTTAGGTGAGTCTCTTGAAAACAGCAGATACTTGGTTGGTAGGTTTTTATCCGTTCTGCCATTCTGTGTCTTTTAAGTGGAACATTTAGGCTATTTACATTCAATGTAAGTGTTGAGATGTGAGATACTGTTTTATTCATTTTGCTAGTTGTTGCCTGAATACCTTTTCTTTTTCATTGTATTATTGTTTTATAGGCCCTGAGATTTATGGTTTAAGGAAGTTCTATTTTGTTGTATTTTGAGGTTTTGTTTCAAGATTTCGCACTTCTATTGGTATTTCTTGTAGTTCTGAGTTTGGAGTGGTAGTTTCTCTCAGCACTTGTTTATCTGAAAAAGACTTTCTCTCTTCTTCATTTATAAACCTTAGTTCTGCTGCATACAAAATTCTTGGTTGGCAATTATTTTGTTTATGGAAGCTAAAGATAAGTCCCCAATCCCTCTAGCTTGTAGGGTTTCTGCTGAGAAATCTGCTGTTAATCTGATAGGTTTTCCTCTATATGTTGACTTATGCTTTTGTCTCACAGCTCTTAAGATTCTTTCCTTCATCTTGACTTCAGATAACCTGATGACTATGTAACTATGTGATGATCTTTTTGTGATGAATTTCCCTGGTGTTCTTTGAGCTTCTTGTATTTGGATGTGTAGACCTCTAGCAACACCAGAGTAGTTTTTCTTGATTATTCCCTCAAAGATGTTTTCCAAACTTTTAGATTTCTCTATTTCCTCAGGAACACCAATTATTCTTAGTTTAGTTATTTAACATAATCCCAAATTTCTTGGAGGCTTTACTTTTTAAAATTCTTGTTTCTTTGTCTTTGTTGGATTGGGTTAATTCAAAAGCCTTGTCTTCAAGTGCTGAGGTTCTTTTTTCTACTTTTTCTAGTCTATTGGAGACAATTTCCAGTGCATTTTGTATTTCTATAAATGTGTCTTTTATTTCCAGAAGTTGTAATTGTTTTTCTTTATGATATCCATTTCTCTGGGGAAGTTTTCATCCATATCCTGTATTGTGTTTTTAATTCGTTTACGTTGGTTTTCACCTTCCTCTGTTATCTCCTTGAGTAGCTTAATAATCAACCTTCTGAATTCATTATCTGGCAATTCAGAGATTTATTTTTGGTATGGATACATTGTTGAGGAGCTAGTGTGGGCTTTTGGGGGTGTTATAGAACCTTGTTTTGTCATATTACCAAAATTACTTTCCTGATTGCTTCTAATTTGGGTAGACTATTTCAGAGGAAAAATCTGGAACTCAAAGGCTGCTGTTCAGATTTTTTTTATCCCACAGTGTGATCGCTTGATGTGATGCTCTTCCTTTCTCCTAGAAATGGGGTTTCCTGAGAGCTGGACTCCAGTGATTGCTATTATTCTTTTGGGTCTAGCCACCCAGTGGGTGGAACTACCAGTCTCCAGATTGGTGCTGGGGAATGCCTGTAATGATTTCTGTGATGTGATCCACTTCAGGTTTCCCAGCTGTGCATACCAGCACCTGCTCTGGTGGAGGTGGCAGGGGAGTGAAGTAGACTTCATGAGAGTCCTTGGTTGTAGATATGTTTACTGTGCTGGCTTTCTTGAATGCTGGTTATGATAGCAGTGAGGTTGTCACGTGGACAGTCTCAGGACCTCTTGTTAGCCAGGATGTTGCAGGCAGTGGAATTCACTGTTGTTTTCTCCTTCCTTGAAGCAGGGTTATTCTGTCATGAGTTGCTATAATGTCCTGGGTTGATTGGCCTCCAGCAGGAGGTGATGCTTTCAAGAGAGAATCAGTTGTGATAGTAGAAAGGGGATAAAAGCTTACCAATAATTTACATCTTTGTGATGGGCTACCAGGGCAGGGAGAGAAATACCATCAGGTAGGGGCAGATTTAGGTAGATCTAAGCTCAGAATCTCCTTGGGTGGGGTTTGCCATGGCTACTATGGGGGATGGCAGGGTGGTTCTCAAGCTAATGGGGTTGGTAGCTAGGGAAGTGGGGGAAAGCAGTTAGCAATAGGCCTCATCTAGCTCCCACACAGTTGGTGAGGCCAGTCTCATTCCCAAAGTGTCCTGATAACAGTTGCACATGGCAACAAAATGTTGCCATGTTTATCTCCAGGCAGCTTGTCGATGGGACTCAGACCTTGCCCCAGGCTAAAAGCTTCCCTGCTGAGAAAGCAAACACTGTGTTCAGGCCACCCCCCTCCGCACTACTGCCCACACTGTGGGCTGCAGCTCCCTGCACTCCTTCTGCGCAGTTTCCATTCAATACCCAATTCTGCTCAAAAGAGTTTGCATCAGTTGAAATCATTACAATGTTCAACTGGAAGCTTCTTTCACCTTGTAACCTCTCCCAGATTCTTCTGGCTACCTTCCCCAAGGGCCCCTGTGAGATATAGTCAGGGATGGCTTCTCTGAGTTTGAGCTGGAGAATGGGAGTACCTACAAGGCTCTTCTTGCTACTGCTTCTACTTTTGTAGTTCATGCTAAATCTGTTTCAGCTCTAGGTAAGGTTAAATCCTTATCCTGTAATCTGGATTTTTCAGGTTCCCCAGTGAGGATTGTCAGGCCTCTGAGCCCAAGCTAAGCCATCATATCCCCTGTGACCTGCACGTATACATCCAGATGGCCTGAAGCAACTGAAGATCCACAGAAGAAGTGAAAATAGCCAGTTCCTGCCTTAACTGATGACATTCCACCATTGTAATTTGTTCCTGCCCCACCCTAACTGATCAATTGACTTTGTGACAATACACCCTCCCTACCCTTGCGGTAATGTAATTTGTGATATTCCCTCACCCTTGTGAAGGTACTTTGTACTATACACCCTCCCCACCCTTGAGAAGGTACTTTGTAATATTCTCCCCTGCCCTTAGGAATGTACTTTGTAAGATCCACCCCCTGCCCACAAAAAATTGCTCCTAACTCCACCGCCTATCCCAAACCTGTAAGAACTAATGATAATCCCACCACCCTTTGCTGACTCTCTTTTCGGACTCAGCCCACCTTCACCCAGGTGATAAAAAAGCTTTATTGCTCACACAAAGCCTGTTTGGTGGTCTCTTCACATGGATGTGCATGACAAGGATGTGTGTTTGGAGGCAGGTTTTCCCCTTTCGCCCTTGGTAACTCACAGTTTCTCTCCTGTCTTATGGAATTTGCAGAGGCATGCTGCTTATTTCAAATAATCTGTGAATTATTTCAGTTTTCTTGGTACATTCCTGCAGTGGTTCTTGGAGAAAATCCGCTGTATGAGTCTCCACACACTGTTCTATCTGTCCAAGTGGGAGCTGCACAATTGTCCTGTCTGCTATCTGCCATCTGCCTCCTAAATCCCCCTGTCTTTTCTTCAGCCTCTCATCTTCACCCCTGCATACACACATATACAGGCACACAAAGTTGTCACAGAGCCTTTCAAGAATATTTTGAATACTTATCTGAGTATATAAAGTAGAGATCTGAAGCTCTAAAAATGAAAGTTTTTAAAAATAAAATTTGGCTTAGGATGTGGAATCTGTCCTCATATCATTAACAAAAATATGCTTTGGATACCACTTTGACAGTCCTCCAACACCTATATCAGTCAACAGGCCAACACAAAACAGATGGCACACTCCAAATAAGGCACCTGGAGGAGGGTGCATCTACAACGGACCTAGTTACAGAGGTGTTAAGTACAGGGGAATCGCGAGAGGTAGTGTTGCAATCTAAGACTCAGTAAAGAGAAGAGAGAAGAGATTAGTTAACAGAGAATTTAGAACAGTGACCTGGACAAAGGTCAGCTTATCTTGCAAGGAGAGAGTTAGGCAAATAATGCCCTGACCTCATTCTGCAACTCCCCGCTAAACTTCTGGGGCTTCCCATTGGTTGGACATAGGGGATGTTAGAACACATGAGAACCTCTCAAAATCCATACAGGCCAGGCTCTCAGAGAAGACAGGAGAGTGAAAAACTGGCAGAAAGTGGACCTAAAGGAGAAAGTGAAAGATGCTCAGAACAATATTCTTATTCAGAGGTTATACAAAGATTGTTTTAATTAAATATACAATATATGCTGGAAAAATTAGAATTATGAACAATAAACTTTCTATCAGTCAACTGTAATTCATCATTTTACTGTCTAGATGGACAAAAAGTCAAGTTAGAGAGGTGTGTGTGTGTGTGCGTGTGTGTGTGTATGTGAACATATATTTGACTGTGTTAACGAGGCACTGACCAAAAATTTTTTAAATCATTCGATCATACAAACAGAATTTTGGCACTGGGACTGAAACTATTTTGTCAACAGTACTTTTTCTTTACTTTGTCTTGGTTTGGTTTTCATTGGCTTGTTTTGTTATGGAGTGGACTATTAGTACTGAGAGCAGAGCCTTTGCTTTATCCACTAAGATATGGGAGACCCCAGAAGTGAGAAGAATTACTAAGAGAAAGATAAGGAATCTTCAAAAATTTTATAGAACGACCAGAATTTTTGTAGGTATAGTTGTGAGAGAAGAATGTTATAGTACACATCAGGGGGCTTGGGATTATTCTAGAAATTTTGCTAAGTGTTTTTTGCCTAAAAATTAGCAAATGAACCCCACCCTCATGAATTCTCACAGCTCAGGGAGGAGACAGACATATGTATACATCAGATACATTCAATAAGTTTACACACGCCCTTTTCATTCACCAGGGCATAAGAGATTCAACATTGAAGAAAAATAGGGTGTTTGTGCTCTCATTGATTTTATATTCTAATAAAAGGAAAATACAATAAAACATATAGTAACATGAAAAATATTAGATGGTGATAATTGCTGTGCAGAAAACTAAAATGGAAAATTATATAATTTGATAAACGTGATTATCTGCTTTATTGAATAAACAGGGAAGGCCTCTCAGGTGGTAATGGGTTGAGATCTGAGTGACAGAAGAGTGTTTGCCATAAGAAGATTAGTGAGAAGATTCTGGTGAGAAACAATATTACCTACCAAGGCCTCAAGGTGAGAGAAGCAGGATTTGCCTACACAACTGAAAGAAGGCCAGTAATTCTGGCATTCAGTAAAAAGATGCCAAATAATATAGGTATTGTTAAGCCAAGGTAAGAAGTTTGAATTTTGTTCCAAATATATAGGAAGCCATTGGCTAAGGAGTGGCATGATTTTATTTCTATTTTAATTGATCACCAAGGCTGCTCTATGGAGCACAGACTAGTGGGATGAGAGTGAAGGCCGGAAGCTATGATACCAGTTCAGGAGGGAGGCAATGGGGGCTTAGACTGAAGAAAGTAGTCAATTTAGCAATCTTTTAAACATATAGGCAATATAGTAATTGACTTTGAATCGATAGATTCAAAGCCTACTTTATAGATAAATTGACAGGGCTTTTAATTGAGAGACTGGATGTGAGGTTGATAAAATGAAAAAGAATACCTGATATAATGTTGGCCAATAGGCATGTAAATGTACTATTTCTGCACAGTGCTATAATTGCTGCAAAGCTAATGTATGCAGAGTTCAGTGGACATGTAGAAAAAGATGAGTCTAAGATTTTCTGAGAGAATCCAAGAATGCTGTACGATGGATTTGAAGGATGAACATATCTGAGTACCGAGTAGAGGTAAAGAGTGCAATGCTGGACTTGCATGTCGTTGTCACCAGTGGAAGGAACTTCTGCCCTGTACTCCCTACTCATATTTCTCATTCCCCTATATTTCTGATATTAATTAATGATATCACCACATGTTTAACCTTCAAAGTTACATCTTTGAATTCTCTACCACTGCCCCATCCACACATACTCACACACAAAAGCCTAGAGCAAATATAATCAGTAATGGGGAAAGCATTAGAAGCATTCTCTTCAAAATAAGGGAATAAGAATGGCTATGATCACCAGCTGTACTTGATAATTCTTCTGTACTTTTAATTAATACACTAAGACAAGAAAAATAAATGTAAGATTTAATGATTGGTTAGGAAGACATTACGTTTTATTCTCAGATGATAGTACACTAAAAATCTGAAGAATCTCTACACAAATTTTTAGAAGTAAGATGTTATTAAGGTAAATAGCATATATAGTAGCAACAAATAGAAAATTTAATGAGATACTTTTATATTTACTATAACAATAAAATACTTAAGAGTCATAAAGGAAAAATATCTTAAAAATGCATGAAATTTGTATCCAGAATATTATAAAACTTTTGTGGAGGACATTAAAATATTTTTTAAAATTAAGAGATAACCCAAATTGTTTTTCAAAACTCAAGATTACAAAGATGCTGCTTTGTATTAAATAAATGCATAGATTCAATATAATTAAAATGAAAATTTCAAAGAGTTTTTCATGAAATTTGACAAGCTAAAAGGAGAACAAATATTCCCCATCATTACTCTAATAGTAAATACACCTGTGGCTAATAATATATTTCTCCATAGTAACTGCATTTTCACTGTTACATTAAACACTATTATCCATGTAATTGGTAAGAACATAGAGTAAAAAACAACAACTTAAATATTCATATTGTCACTTCTTGCAGAAATTTCTCTAATCCCTAAAATCCCAGTGAGTATAATTTCTGGCACTCCCACAACATTCTTAATTTCTTCATACACATTCCCTTCTCCTTTGCTTGACACAGTTTTTGCCTATTTGTCCATGTCCCTGACTTTACCAATGATAACATCTTGCAACACTACAGTATGACATCACAGCCAGTATATTGACATTGCTAAGATCCAGAATATTTTCATCACTATGAGGATGCCTCATTTTTACCTTCCCTGACCACACCCACTTTTTCCCACTCTACTCTTTTTAAATCCTGGAAACCACTCATCTTTATCCATTTTAATACTTTTATCATTTCAAAAATGTTATATAAATGGAGTCACATAATATACAACATTTTGAGATTGATTTTTTTCATTCAGCATAATTCTCTAGAGATTCACTCATGTTGTTGCACATATTCATAATTTGATTGTTCTTTTCTTTTCTTTTTTCCTGTTTTTCTTTTCTTTTCTTTTCTTTTCGAGACAGAATCTTACTCTGTCACCCAGGCTGGAGTGCAGTGGCACCATCACGACTAAGTGTAGCCTCGACCTCCCAGGCCCAAGCGATCCTCCTACCTCAGCCTCCTGAGTAACTGGGACCACAGGCACATGCCATCACACCTGGCTAGGGGATTTTGTTGCTGTTGTTTTAAATTTTATTTTGTAGAGACAGAATCTTCCTATGTTTCCCAAGCTGGTCTCGAACTCCTGAGCTCAAGCTACCTCCTGCCTCAGCCTCCCAAAGTGCTGATATTACAGGCATGAGCAGCCATGCCTGGCCTGTTTTTTTTTTTATTGCTAAATAATATTCTAGAGCATGAATGTACCACAGTTTGTTGAACTATTCATCTGTTGAGCAAAATCTGAGCTGTTTCCATTATTCACCTATTGCAAGTCACTATAAACATTTGGTTTTGTGTAAACATAAGACCTCATTTCTCTGAGATAAATGCCTAGAAGTACACCTGCTAGAGCGTGTATTATGTGTATATTTACTTACTTCTGGCCTCCACGATGTTTGATAAAAAACCCACCATTATTCCAATTGTTTTTGCCCTAAAGGTAAGGTGGCATTTCTTTCTCATAGCCTTCAAGATTTTTTCTTTCTCCTTAATTTTCAGAATTTTAATTATTATGTGTTTTGGTGTGTGTTTCTTTGGGTTTATCCTATTTGTGATCCATTTAGTCTCTTGAACCTGTAGCTATGTGTCACACCAATTTGGGAAGTTTTCAGCCATTGTTTCTTCACATACTTTTCCCACATTCATGATTCTGATAGCATGAATGTTAGATCTTTTGTTATAGTTCCAAAGTCTCTAGGGTTCTGTTCGTTTTTTCAGTCTATTTTCTGTTATTCACATTGAGTAGCTCCTATTTATCTAACTTCCGGGTCACTGATTCTTTCTTCTGTCCACATCATTCTTCTGTTGGATATTGCATTTTTAAGTTTTAAAATGTTCATTTGATTTCCTTTATTTCTTCTATTTATTTTCTGAGACTTGACATTTCTTTGCTATATTTTTATTTGTTTCTGGCATGTTTATAATTGTTCACTGGGTCATTTTTTAAAAGTCACGGGTGCTTTAAAATCTTTGACAATTCTAACATCTCTGTTATCTCAGTGTTGTCATCTATTTATTTATTATTTTTTCAATTGGAGATCTTTCTGGTTCTTTATTTTTTTATTGAAATCTGGACATTTCTATGTGATGTTATGATGACAGTCTAGATCTTATTTAAAACATTCTTTTAAACCTGGTTTTCCCTCACATCATTCTGGCAGAGAAAAGGGTTTTGGGCACACTGTAGTATTACTACTAGGTGGGCGTAGATATTCAGCTTCCTAACTTGGCCTCCACTGGCACCTGAGTTGGGGAGTTCCTCCTTACTCCTGGATAAGATGGGTGTTCTGGATTCCCAGGTAGCCTCTCCATTTGAGAGTTAATGCCCAAAGCCATCACTCTCCACTAGATCTCCTCTGACACCACTCTAGCGGGGAGAGGGAGGAGTACCTCATTACTGCCAGGTGGAGATGGAAGACTAGACTCCCTATATGTTCTTCACTGACATTTTTACCATGTGAGGGAGATTTGGGAGAGTCACTCATTACCAGATGGTGCGGATAGAAGTTCTAGCTTCCTACATTGTCTAATCTTACACTACCCTGGCAAGGCTGTTGGATGCCACATTACAGCCTAAAGAGTGTAGAAGTCTAGGCACCGACTAGGCCCTTGCTGGTATGGCTAGGAGTAGGGTCACTCTGCTTTTTCATCTGTTTCTTTTATGGCGTTTCACTGGAGTAGAAAAATTATTGTCTGAATGTTTTCTGTATTACTAGGCTTTCCTTTTTTTTTTGGTCCTTCAACTAGAGGGAGCAGGCTTTTTGAAAGTCTATTTTTGCCCGTTCATTTCTGGGTTGCTGGCTTTTTCAGCTTCAAGCTTGTGATGTTTGAATGAAAAAATAATTCTGGGAACCCACCACCACGTCTTTCTTCAGGTCCTGAGGCAAGTCTTCTTTCTTCTCTCTACCTTTCAGAGTCTTCTGATATCCTTTTTACATATACTGTTCAGTGTCTTTACCTGTAGAGGAAGAATATAGAAAATTGAGTCTAGTGTATATTTCTATAAATGGAAGTCCCCCATACTTATTTTTTACATTTTTATTTTCTAGCAAAAGAAAAATCATAAATAAAGCTTTTGTGAGAAAATTTAACCAATTTTAATTATTATTAGTATATCTTTTGTGCTGGACTTAAAGATGTCTGATACCTCTATGCAGCTCTTAAAGACCCAAAGTCACACTAATTTTGTGTCAAAGTAGCTTTAGTTTGCCATTCAGGATAGTTAAAAACATCAATTTTGGAGTCAGAAAACCTAAATTTGAGTCCTGGATTTTCTGCCTGCTAGCTTTATGAATTTGGCCAAATGATTTGACCTCTCCAAGCCACATTTTCTGAGTGAAAAATTAAGAAAATAATAGAACTCACTCCGTAAGTCTGTTATAATAACTAAATGAGAAAATATGCAGCACAAGAGCTACCATATTAAATGCTTGCTATGAGACAGACACTGTGCTATATATGTGTTTCTACGTGCATAAAAGTCCTGAAATTATAGTTCTTAACATTCTATATTTTAGTAGCTTTCTACTTTGTGCTAGACAAACTTGCCTTTTTTGTAAAATGAGAGGATTGAACTAAATAATAAACACAGGGACTTTATCTTGTGTTGCTGTTTCTCCAGCATCTGGAACAGCATCTGGTTCTTAACCGGTACTCAATAAATTGGATTGAATTAATGAATTGACATATTTGCATAAGATATTGTGGTTTATAATATAATCTTCCTATATTATCATAACTAATTTTAGCATACACACTACATGCTTTGTTGTAATCCATATATTTCCTTCCAAGGTAAGATGTATTAATTGAAGATAATTTTCATACAATTATGCTGATTTTTACTGCATTGTTTATTTAGTGACTATACCTATAGAATGTATATAGTACATAATGTATAAATATATGACAGATTTGATATAGCTCCTAATAGAGACTAATCAAAGATGAACATACAAATTATCTTTCTCAAAAGACTAAACTACTAAAGGTTTTAAGCAGAAGAAACATGTGATTTGAATTACACTTTTATAATTTAAAAAATCGCTTGGATGGAGTATTGAGAACAGACCATGAAGGGATAAGAGCAGAAATAAGGAAACCAAAAATAATACAGAATAGAGCTAATGATGTCTTGAACCAGGAAGGTAGCAGTGGATATTGTTTCTGAAAGTAGGACTTTTGAAAGTAGGATGACAACAGGATTTTCTGACAAATTGGACATGTGATGCTAGAGAAAGACAGGAGTTGAAGGGAATGCCAATGGTATTTATCTGAGCAAACAAAGGATGGAAATGAGGAAGACAGCAGGTGGATTAGATAATGCACAAAGTTATGGTGATGTTGACAAGTGGAGTTTCAATGATGTGGAGGGGCAACAGCTCAGTTGGAGTAGGATTAGGAGAGCCTCAAAAAAGAATTCTAAAATACAAGTATGGGAAACTTTTAGTGCGACTTATTTATGACTACCTTAGAAGGAAAAACAATGATAATCTGATAAGATCTGACCAAAAATCGGTGGAGGAGCCAAGATGGCCGAATAGGAACAGCTCCGGTCTACAGCTCCCAGCGTGAGCGACGCAGAAGACGGGTGATTTCTGCATTTCCATCTGAGATACCGGGTTCATCTCACTAGGGAGTGCCAGACAGTGGGCGCAGGCCAGTGTGTGCGCGCACCGTGCGCGAGCCGAAGCAGGGCGAGGCATTGCCTCACCTGGGAAGCGCAAGGGGTCAGGGAGTTCCCTTTCCGAGTCAAAGAAAGGGGTGACGGACGCACCTGGAAAATCGGGTCACTCCCACCCTAATATTGCGCTTTTCAGACCGGCCTAAGAAACGGCGCACCACGAGACTATATCCCACACCTGGCTCAGAGGGTCCTATGCCCACGGAATCTCGCTGATTGCTAGCACAGCAGTCTGAGATCAAACTGCAAGGCGGCAACGAGGCTGGGGGAGGGGCGCCCGCCATTGCCCAGGCTTGCTTAGGTAAACAAAGCAGCCGGGAAGCTCGAACTGGGTGGAGCCCACCACAGCTCAAGGAGGCCTGCCTGCCTCTGTAGGCTCCACCTCTGGGGGCAGGGCACAGACAAACAAAAAGACAGCAGTAACCTCTGCAGACTTAAGTGTCCCTGTCTGACAGCTTTGAAGAGAGCAGTGGTTCTCCCAGCACGCAGCTGGAGATCTGAGAACGGGCAGACTGCCTCCTCAAGTGGGTCCCTGACCCCTGACCCCCGAGCAGCCTAACTGGGAGGCACCCCCCAGCAGGGGCACACTGACACCTCACACGGCAGGGTATTCCAACAGACCTGCAGCTGAGGGTCCTGTCTGTTAGAAGGAAAACTAACAACCAGAAAGGACATCTACACCGAAAACCCATCTGTACATCACCATCATCAAAGACCAAAAGTAGATAAAACCACAAAGATGGGGAAAAAACAGAACAGAAAAACTGGAAACTCTAAAACGCAGAGCGCCTCTCCTCCTCCAAAGGAACGCAGTTCCTCACCAGCAACGGAACAAAGCTGGATGGAGAATGATTTTGACGAGCTGAGAGAAGAAGGCTTCAGACGATCAAATTACTCTGAGCTACGGGAGGACATTCAAACCAAAGGCAAAGAAGTTGAAAACTTTGAAAAAAATTTAGAAGAATGTATAACTAGAATAACCAATACAGAGAAGTGCTTAAAGGAGCTGATGGAGCTGAAAACCAAGGCTCGAGAACTACATGAAGAATGCAGAAGCCTCAGGAGCCGATGCGATCAACTGGAAGAAAGGGTATCAGCAATGGAAGATGAAATGAATGAAATGAAGCGAGAAGGGAAGTTTAGAGAAAAAAGAATAAAAAGAAATGAGCAAAGCCTCCAAGAAATATGGGACTATGTGAAAAGACCAAATCTACGTCTGATTGGTGTACCTGAAAGTGATGTGGAGAATGGAACCAAGTTGGAAAACACTCTGCAGGATATTATCCAGGAGAACTTCCCCAATCTAGCAAGGCAGGCCAACGTTCAGATTCAGGAAATACAGAGAACGCCACAAAGATACTCCTCGAGAAGAGCAACTCCAAGACACATAATTGTCAGATTCACCAAAGTTGAAATGAAGGAAAAAATGTTAAGGGCAGCCAGAGAGAAAGGTCGGGTTACCCTCAAAGGAAAGCCCATCAGTCTAACGGCGGATCTCTCGGCAGAAACCCTACAAGCCAGAAGAGAGTGGGGGCCAATATTCAACATTCTTAAAGAAAAGAATTTTCAACCCAGAATTTCATATCCAGCCAAACTAAGCTTCATAAGTGAAGGAGAAATAAAATACTTTATAGACAAGCAAATGCTGAGAGATTTTGTCACCACCAGGCCTGCCCTAAAAGAGCTCCTGAAGGAAGCGCTAAACATGGAAAGGAACAACCGGTACCAGCCGCTGCAAAATCATGCCAAAATGTAAAGACCATCGAGACTAGGAAGAAACTGCATCAACTAATGAGCAAAATCACCAGCTAACATCATAATGACAGGATCAAATTGACACATAACAATATTAACTTTAAATATAAATGGACTAAATTCTGCAATTAAAAGACACAGACTGGCAAACTGGATAAAGAGTCAAGACCCATCAGTGTGCTGTATTCAGGAAACCCATCTCACGTGCAGAGACACACATAGGCTCAAAATAAAAGGATGGAGGAAGATCTACCAAGCCAATGGAAAACAAAAAAAGGCAGGGGTTGCAATCCTAGTCTCTGATAAAACAGACTTTAAACCAACAAAGATCAAAAGAGACAAAGAAGGCCATTACATAATGGTAAAGGGATCAATTCAACAAGAGGAGCTAACTATCCTAAATATTTATGCACCCAATACAGGAGCACCCAGATTCATAAAGCAAGTCCTGAGTGACCTACAAAGAGACTTAGACTCCCACACATTAATAATGGGAGACTTTAACACCCCACTGTCAACATTAGACAGATCAACGAGACAGAAAGTCAACAAGGATACCCAGGAATTGAACTCAGCTCTGCACCAAGCAGACCTAATAGACATCTACAGAACTCTCCACCCCAAATCAACAGAATATACATTTTTTTCAGCAACACACCACACCTATTCCAAAATTGACCACATAGTTGGAAGTAAAGCTCTCCTCAGCAAATGTAAAAGAACAGAAATTATAACAAACTATCTCTCAGACCACAGTGCAATCAAACTAGAACTCAGGATTAAGAATCTCACTCAAAGCCGCTCAACTACATGGAAACTGAACAACCTGCTCCTGAATGACTACTGGGTACATAACAAAATGAAGGCAGAAATAAAGATGTTCTTTGAAACCAACGAGAACAAAGACACCACATACCAGAATCTCTGGGACGCATTCAAAGCAGTGTGTAGAGGGAAATTTATAGCACTAAACGCCTACAAGAGAAAGCAGGAAAGATCCAAAATTGACACCCTAACATCACAATTAAAAGAACTAGAAAAGCAAGAGCAAACACATTCAAAAGCTGGCAGAAGGCAAGAAATAACTAAAATCAGAGCAGAACTGAAGGAAATAGAGACACAAAAAACCCTTCAAAAAATCAATGAATCCAGGAGCTGGTTTTTTGAAAGGATCAACAAAATTGATAGACCGCTAGCAAGACTAATAAAGAAAAAAAGAGAGAAGAATCAAATAGACACAATAAAAAATGATAAAGGGGATATCACCACCGATCCCACAGAAATACAAACTACCATCAGAGAATACTACAAACACCTCTACGCAAATAAACTAGAAAATCTAGAAGAAATGGATACATTCCTCGACACATACACTCTCCCAAGACTAAACCAGGAAGAAGTTGAATCTCTGAATAGACCAATAACAGGCTCTGAAATTGTGGCAATAATCAATAGTTTACCAACCAAAAAGAGTCCAGGACCAGATGGATTCACAGCCGAATTCTACCAGAGGTACAAGGAGGAACTGGTACCATTCCTTCTGAAACTATTCCAATCAATAGAAAAAGAGAGAATCCTCCCTAACTCATTTTATGAGGCCAGCATCATTCTGATACCAAAGCCGGGCAGAGACACAACCAAAAAAGAGAATTTTAGACCAATATCCTTGATGAACATTGATGCAAAAATCCTCAATAAAATACTAGCAAACCGAGTCCAGCAGCACATCAAAAAGCTTATCCACCATGATCAAGTGGGCTTCATCCCTGGGATGCAAGGCTGGTTTAATATACGCAAATCAATAAATGTAATCCAGCATATAAACAGAGACAAAGACAAAAACCACATGATTATCTCAATAGATGCAGAAAAAGCCTTTGACAAAATTCAACAACCCTTCATGCTAAAAACTCTCAATAAATTAGGTATTGATGGGACGTATTTCAGAATAATAAGAGCTATCTATGACAAACCCACAGCCAATATCATACTGAATGGGCAAAAACTGGAAGCATTCCCTTTGAAAACTGGCACAAGACAGGGATGCCCTCTCTCACCGCTCCTATTCAACATAGTGTTGGAAGTTCTGGCCAGGGCAATCAGGCAGGAGAAGGAAATAAAGGGTATTCAATTAGGAAAAGAGGAAGTCAAATTGTCCCTGTTTGCAGACGACATGATTGTATATCTAGAAAACCCCATCGTCTCAGCCCAAAATCTCCTTAAGCTGATAAGCAATTTCAGCAAAGTCTCAGGATACAAAATCAATGTACAAAAATCACAAGCATTCTTATACACCAACAACAGACAAACAGAGAGCCAAATCATGAGTGAACTCCCATTCACAATTGCTTCAAAGAGAATAAAATACCTAGGAATCCAACTTACAAGGGATGTGAAGGACCTCTTCAAGGAGAACTACAAACCACTGCTCAAGGAAATAAAAAAGGACACAAACAAATGGAAGAACATTCCATGCTCATGGGTAGGAAGAATCAATATCGTGAAAATGGCCATACTGCCCAAGGTAATTTACAGATTCAATGCCATCCCCATCAAGCTACCAATGACTTTCTTCACAGAATTGGAAAAAACTACTTTAAAGTTCATATGGAACCAAAAAAGAGCCCGCATTGCCAAGTCAATCCTAAGCCAAAAGAACAAAGCTGGAGGCATCACACTACCTGACTTCAAACTATACTACAAGGCTACAGTAACCAAAACAGCATGGTACTGGTACCAAAACAGAGATATAGATCAATGGAACAGAACAGAGCCCTCAGAAATAATGCCGCATATCTACAACTATCTGATCTTTGACAAACCTGAGAAAAACAAGCAATGGGGAAAGGATTCCCTATTTAATAAATGGTGCTGGGAAAACTGGCTAGCCATATGTAGAAAGCTGAAACTGGATCCCTTCCTTACACCTTATACAAAAATCAATTCAAGATGGATTAAAGATTTAAACGTTAGACCTAAAACCATAAAAACCCTAGAAGAAAACCTAGGCATTACCATTCAGGACATAGGCGTGGGCAAGGACTTCATGTCCAAAACACCAAAAGCAATGGCAACAAAAGCCAAAATTGACAAATGGGATCTAATTAAACTCAAGAGCTTCTGCACAGCAAAAGAAACTACCATCAGAGTGAACAGGCAACCTACAACATGGGAGAAAATTTTCGCAACCTACTCATCTGACAAAGGGCTAATATCCAGAATCTACAATGAACTCAAACAAATTTACAAGAAAAAAACAAACAACCCCATCAAAAAGTGGGCGAAGGACATGAACAGACACTTCTCAAAAGAAGACATTTATGCAGCCAAAAAACACGTGAAGAAATGCTCATCATCACTGGCCATCAGAGAAATGCAAATCAAAACCACTATGAGATATCATCTCACACCAGTTAGAATGGCAATCATTAAAAAGTCAGGAAACAACAGGTGCTGGACAGGATGTGGAGAAATAGGAACACTTTTACACTGTTGGTGGGACTGTAAACTAGTTCAACCATTGTGGAAGTCAGTGTGGCCATTCCTCAGGGATCTAGAACTAGAAATACCATTTGACCCAGCCATCCCATTACTGGGTATATACCCAAAGGACTATAAATCATGCTGCTATAAAGACACATGCACACGTATGTTTATTGCAGCACTATTCACAATAGCAAAGACTTGGAACCAACCCAAATGTCCAACAATGATAGACTGGATTAAGAAAATGTGGCACATATACACCATGGAATACTATGCAGCCATAAAAAATGATGAGTTCATGTCCTTTGTAGGGACATGGATGAAATTGGAAACCATCATTCTCAGTAAACTATCGCAAGAACAAAAAACCAAACACCGCATATTCTCACTCATAGGTGGGAATTGAACAATGAGATCACATGGACACAGGAAGGGGAATATCACACTCTGGGGACTGTGGTGGGGTCGGGGGATGGGGAAGGGATAGCATTGGGAGATATACCTAATGCTAGATGACACATTAGTGGGTGCAGCGCACCAGCATGGCACATGTATACATATGTAACTAACCTGCACAATGTGCACATGTACCCTAAAACTTAGAGTATAAAAAAAAAAAAAAAAAAATTAAAAAAAAAAAAAAAAGAGATCTGACCAAAAATCATATATATAAAATATCAAAATTTTATTTTTTTAGTTTTCAAAAATTTCCATGTTTCAATTTATTATCCATTTATTCACTTTCGTGAATTTCATAAAAATTTTTTAAAATGGATTCTGTAAATTTTTTAGTCTACTCTATTTCTGTTAAGAAATACATACTCTCTTTTAAAAAATTAACTTTTATTTTAAGTTCATGGTACATATGCAGGTTTGTTACATAGGTAAACTTGTTTCGTGGGGGTTTGTTGTACATATTATTTTGTCACCTAGATAATATGTCTAGTACCCATTAGTTATCATTCCTGATCCTCTCCCTCCTCCCACCCTCCACCTTGCAATAGGCCCCAGTGTATGTTGTTCCCCTCTACGTGCCCATGTGATCTCACTGTTTAGCTCCCAACTGTAAGTGAAAACTTGTGGTATTTGGTTTTTTGTTCCTGCATTAGTTTTCTAAGGATAACGGCCTCCAGTTTCATCCATGTTCCCACAAAGGACATAATTGCATTCTTTCTCCACACTATTTTTTAGAGAAAGGAAATAAAGGGGGGATATATGCGCAGAATATCACAGAAGGTCTCTAACTCTGTGATCCTGTGTTGTGGAAGCTGGCAGGCTCTCAGTCCCTGCTGAGGGACCTGTAAGGGACACATGGATGGAGCACAGCAGGGATGAGGTGGAAGCTCACCAACAACTTTTCTATTCTTTCTGCTAGAACAGATAAAAGCACAACATAGCCTCAAGACTCAACCCCAGCTGTATCTAGGTCCCAGCACCTTTTAGACCAGAGAGACAAAGAGCTGGAAATAAGAAGTAGGAGAAGGAATTTCATTCAAGTTACCTTTTCAGCAATCACCTGCTCACAGGTATCTTGGTTTATGGTATTTTCCAGATTATATTTCTATAATGAAACATATAAATAAGTGTTTTTATGAACTATTAAAGAAAAGCTATGCTAGCGAACAAGCGAAGACATACTTTAACAGTATTGACATTTTAAAGAAAATATTTCCAAAACCAATATGTGATGTAAGTCCAACTTTGAAAGTCCAAACTCTGAGTAGTTGCTCCAAATGAAATTGAATTCTGGGATTATATTGATCAATAGTACCATTTATGAAATTTATGCATTGTATCATTTTATCTATTGCAGAAAAGAAGTTGAAATGAGAAATATAAAAATTATTGGATATTTCATAATATAGTCATTATATCAGAATAAGATATTTTAAATATAATAGAATAATTGCATTATCTTGTATTAAGCAGAAAGAAATCATGCCTTTTTTTAAGCCCATAAAAGTTCACTTCTTATCTCTTGGTAATGCCCAAACAATTCTGAGAATTAAAATATGAGCTATTCATTCTTCTATTATGAAGAGTAAAGCATTTCAAATTTACTGACCTTTTCTGTGATGACAAGTGGCTGACAGGAGGATGCTACCTAGCAGATATTTTGGGGAAATTTTCAAACATATCCCTTCAAGGTAAAGGTAGCACTTTAACAACTAAGAAAGTAACTTGGACAGTGGAGAAGGCATCTTAAAATGTCCCCATTATTGAGTGATTAGTTTTAGCCCAAAATAAATAAAGATATATAATATTTTCTAATCTGGGCATGCTTTAAATTTAGAAAAAAAGTGTGGCTTTTGAAGTAGTTTGTTAACATTAATATAGTACTTTCTGATTACTTTGCAAGGAAAAGTGATTGACATCAGAGAAGGTGAAAATTTATTAGTCAAATTTCAATAGAAATAGTTTTACTATAACAGGGAATGGGATTTTAAAATTACATGATGTTTTAGTAATCACAACCAAAAATGTCTCCTCTCATTTGGCTCAACATATTTCTATAAAGTCTCTTTTTCGACCATGACAGTTATTATAACCATGTGTGGAAATAAATAATACTTAAGAACCAGAGCTTTGAATTTCTGTATTATAAAGTTTAAAACAGATTTGAAAAGCACATTTAGTTACATTGATTGCATTGCTCTCAGTCTTTTATTTTGGAATCCAAAATAAAATTATAATATGAGAAGGTTTTTGAAATAATAGTAAAAAATAAAATTAAAATATTTAACTTTATTTTTGCCTCATCTGTCTTTAATTTTTATTTTTCAGCATACCTTAAATGTATATATTAGTCTAATAGTACTGATATATAACTCATAAAACAATAAATAAATACATATTTGACAGGTATGCTCAAAATATTAATGAGTGCACTGTTAGAAAAATGTAAAGGACATTCCAATAAAGAGAGCAGAAGTAAACACAAATACTTGTAGCATGACAGGAAAACAGGGCAGAGGCTAAAAACTCTGCTTGTCACACCTAAGGCACAATACTTAAAATATGAGATGGTAGAAAATGATAAACAAGACTTCATCTTCTCAAGAGCTTACTTATTTCCGAAGACATTTTTTACAGATTTGTTTTTACTAATTAAAATATGACTGCCAGGATCCATTTCCCATTAGAATCAAGACAACATTGCTGGAAAAAATATAAGACTTTGTTGTCCTTTTAACAACTTCTTATCTCCATGGGATTCTGATGTATTTCATATTGAAACTAAAGGCAGAGGCTTTCAGAAAAAAAAATATATTTTTTTCTGAAAACACAGTTAACACTCAAATCCTTTTATTCTCTTTCTAATCCTACCCTATCCTATCCTTGGCAATTACATGACAGTATGAGGAAAGAGGGAAACTCTATTTTGAATAGATATTTTAATTAGGCTATAACTGAATATTGACACAACTCTAGGACGCATATCAAAAATTCTAAACATGTGTTGTTCATCTTTTGCAACTGTGTTTTAATTTTTAGGAAAAATGTATCTGAGCCCCAGGAATATATGTTTAGCAAAGATACTCCATTGCAATTAGCTGAGAATGAAAGAAACAAAGGGAAGTCAATTACAGCTGTCTGGTCATTTGGAACCTGGCAGCATTAACTGTCAGCTAATGGAAGAGGCTAGAAACTTTTGCTTCCTCAGACCTTCTTGTAATTAATATAGCTATTAATATTATACTTCACAGCCAGAAATCAATAAATCACTGACAAAAAAGGTAGTGCTTAAGATGCATGTGAAATTTAGTTCTTCATGAAACCTCAAAGACATCCAAACTGACATCTTCAGTGTTCCCATACCTCTGCATACATACTGAACTAATTCAACGTGTTCACAGCTCTACAGTCAGGAAATACAATGTTTAAAACAGCAGAATTGGTCCTTTTAAACAACGTCTGCAGCCTCTACAGAACAGAACATAGGGTATGCAAGGAGGCATTATCTTTTACAGAGCTGTGCATCCCCCTATGCACTATCTCCTCTTAGCCAGTTGCCTGAATGTGGAACATCTGTGTTTATTTTGCATGAGGAAGTTGTTCCTTGGCTTTGCCAAAATGAGCTTTGATGTGGGACTCTGGGTTTGTGGATTTTCCGTAGGGTGATGATAAAGCTCAAGTGGCAGGACATTGTTTTTGTATATAATGCATATTACATGAAGTCATCCATATTTAATGACAAGTGTGCTATATTTTTAATCTTTATAGCTTTAATGTGTGCGAGAGATTTTAATAATTGGTGCTGGGATGATGGTAACGTCCCAGAAATGCTCAGCACAACTGCTGTGGTTCTCAGCCCACAGTTTGCACAGGTTGTAAATTATGAAACTTGATTAGCAATAGACTTGGCAATATCTCTCATCTTTTGAAGATGCCAATCTGTAGCATCATGGGTACAAAATATTTTTATTCATACTTTTAATATTCACCTAGATAGCCTACATGAAAAACTCGAGAAGAAAAATGATGAGCTTTTCAGGGAAATTAAACTGTTTTTCTACAGACTTAGAATTCTACCTGCAAAAACTAAACAGTTTCACCTCCAAAATTGTCCAGTTAAAATTCTAATTTTTCTGTATATGGCAGCAGAGTTTTAAATATTGTGGATATGTATTCTGTAATGTTTCTGGTTTTTTTTTAAAGGCTTTGTGAAGAAATCATATTATTCACAATCACTAATAGGTTACAGTTAGAAATTTCAGAGATCTAACAATTTTGGTAACTTTCATTTTCAACAGTATCAATTTTTGCTTAAATTTTTCCTGTACTCTTGGTCTAAATTATCTATTCCTCAGTTCAGCAATCAGTTCCCTAATGTTGAAAGACAAGATCAGTCAGTCCAATGAGTATTTACTGAGCATATTAGGCCATTCTTGCATTGACATAAAGAAATACCAGAGGCTGGGTAAAAAAAGAGATTTAATGGGCTCAAAGTTCTGTAGGCTGCACAGGAAGCGTGGTGCTGGCATCTGCTTCTGGCGAGGGCCTCAGGAAGCTTACAATCATGGTGGAAAGCCAAGGGGTGTCAGCTGGTCACATGGTGAGAGTGGGAGCAAGAGACAGTGTGAGAAGGAGGTCCAGCTTTTTTAAAGAACCAAATCTCAAGTGAACTAAGAGCAAGAACTCACTGATCACCAAGCGGGTGGTGCTAAGCCATTCTTGAGAGATTCACCTCCATGATTAATTCACTTCTCTCCAAACCCTACCAACAACATTGGGAATCACATTTCAACAAGAGATTTGAAGGTGAGAAACATCCAAACCATATCATTCCATATTTATAGGCAATAAAGAACATCATTGGAGACCCTAGATCCTGCCCATCTACCACACAGCAAAGCAACTATTACCCATTCCCACCCTTATTTCCATCACAGCATAAAATGGAGGATTTACTGTCTGTCAAACCGAGGGGACTCTGGGCATGGGACCACCCAGCTCAGATGAGGGTATAGAGAATATAGCAAACACTTAGGGGTTATGTAAAAGACTACATATAAAAATGAAACACTCCAACCTCCTGGCTCAAACTGTCACAGTCAGCTGAATGATTGTTGGCAACCAGTTTTATATCTCCCAGAAGGGCTAAAAAATAGTTAAGTATTAACATTTGAGTGTACCACCAATGAAAGGTTGTATTCCCAGCAAATCCCTCACTAGTGTAGCTGCTGTGCAACAAACTTCATTTACATACAAAATCTCCAAACAACATTTTACTACCTACTTTGTAAATATCGACGGATAATCAAGCATTCACCAGGCAAGAAAAATTCATGCCACACTGAAACTGAAATTATTATCATCAGAATATTTAATACATTAAACAAAATAAACCCAGCATGTATTTAAAAGGAAATTTCAAGAAAAAAAGAGCTCTGGGAAAAGTAAATATACAAAAGAAAAATTGGAAGATAAATTTGAGGAAACATCCAGAAATTAAAATAAAATCGCCAAGATATAAAATATAGGAAAATAAAGATGAGAAAATTAGAAAATCTGTCCAAGTAATTCAATAATTGAGTAATAGGATTCCAACAGAAAATAACAAAGAAACACAAATCAGATAATTATATTAAGAATACCAGAAAATATCTCAAAACTGAAGGGCATGCATATGAGACTAAAAGTGCACCAAAAGTATTTACCACTATAGATAAAATAGAGACACAATGAAGCATTAGATCAAGCAATTTCAGGTAAATGGAAATGAAATAATCTTTAAAACATTCAAATGTATGTGTGTGCACACACAATTATAAAAAGATCTGGATTCAGGATGAATTCAGATCTCAGTGGAAATATGGAGAGCTAGAAGAAAATGAAGCAAATACCTAAGCAATTCTGAGGGGGGAAAATCATACTACGATTTTATATCCACTCACATGGTCAGTCAGGAGAAAAATGAGGACATTTTTTTCAAGCACACATTCCTCAAAAAATGTAGCTTCTGTGAAACATTTCTCATTTAGCCACTGGAGGATATGGGCTATACTAAGTTAAAAAAAAGATATAAGATACAGGAGACTGAAAACTCTTATCAAATACAGGAGGTAAATCAAGAAGATTTCCAGAGTTTATGGGGATCAAAAATTCTGGGATGAGAACTGTATATCAAGCTTAGAGAAAAATCATTAAAAATTAGAACAGGAAGGTGGTGGAGTACCAAGGCTATATTTGAACATATCGCAAAAAGTTTTAAATTTCTGGCATAGGGTTAGGGAAGAATTTGAGATAGCTACATCTGAGATTAAATAAATGGAAATATAAGGCAAATAAAAACTCCAGGGAAAATAAAAGTACCTTGTAAAATTTTTCTTTGAAAGAAAAATAATGTAAATTATTGTACATCACATGAATCATCTGTAAATAATATAACACACTTACAATAACTAAGCAATAAATTAAATATTAATTTAACAAAAAAATTGATGAATTAATTACATTGGGGAAAAGAATAAATTACCAAATTTTCATCTTGATAATTAAGTAGTCAATACATAATGTCTAAAACTGAAATATCAAAAAGTAGTGGCAAAGGGACCTAGAATAGTTAAAATAATTTTGAAAAGATTAACAAACCTGGAGAGTTTATACTACCTAAGACTCGTTTAAAGATATAGTAATTAAGAGAGTGTGCTATACACACAAAAATATTTAAATAGATTCATGAATCAAAAAAGAGACTCCAGATAGAGACCCACATGTATATGGTCAATTGATTTTTAACAAAGGTGCCAAATAATTTAATGGAAATGATGGCTTTAAAAAAAAAAGTTGTACTGGGTTAATTTAATATCAGTACAGAAAAATAGTCCTTCATCATATCTCATACTATGCTGAAAAATTAATTTGAAATGACTCGCATCCTTAAATGATAAACCTAAAACTATAAAACTTCTGAAAGAAAAATAGTAGAGAATCTTTGTGACTTAAGTTAGGCAAAGATTTCTCAGAAAACAAAAAGCACTCATAAAATAATTAAAATGATAAATTGGCCTTTAACAAAATCAGTAAGCTTTGTTCCTCAAAAGAAAATATATGAATGACCAATAAGCATATGAATAAATGTTCAAAATCATTACTTTCTAAGAAAATGTAAATTAAACCTTGAGATATGACTATACATTCTTGATAATGGCTAAAATTGAAAATGCTGACAAAAACAAGTGTTAGTGATAACATAGAACTGGAACTTGCAGGACAGTTCTTCCGTGTGCCTATACCAACCCATTTCTCCCCGTTTTCTTGCTTGTAGTTCTCAAGAGTAACTGTAGAATGTGCTGGGAATGCAGTATCATAAGTTGGGGGAAACTGCTTGAAACAGTTCAGGTCTTGTTCCTGACCATGCTGAGAAATCTTGAGATAAGGAAAAACTGCCCAAGACAGCTAAGGCTTTGTGTTCACTCCTCTGGAAGCAGGATGTTCTTCAAAGTGTTGCCAAGTGATTCATGTTGCCCCAAAGCTATCAAACCCAAGGCAGGTTGTTTTTTAGGGTCACTCAGCCGAGATGCAAGCAGGGCACACAAAGTCAACACTCCATCTGCCCTAAGTAGCTTTCTTGAGCCTTCAGGACTGGCTCCCAGTGGACTTGAGACTCCTTTCTTCCCTTGCCTACCTGTAAGTAATAAGCCCACCTCATATGTCTTGTTATGTGTGAATGTGCTCTGTCTCATAGGACTTAGACAAATTGGAAGCCAGTGCATGGTGGACCTAAACAGTAGCCCAGGATGCAGTAGGCACAGTATTTGAACTTCTGCTCTTGGTTGTTGGCACAATGATGATGTTGCCACTCTTGATGCACCCTTGGGATTGGTAATTAGTGAACCTGCTTTAGAGAACTCTCATACACTATTAGCGAGAGTTTAAATAGTACAACTTTAAAAGTGTTTTGGCAGTTTCTTACCAAGTTAAATGTATACCTACTGCATGACCAATCATTTCACTACAAAGATAAATGAAAACATATGTTGGCCGGGCACGGTAGCTCACGCTTGTAATGCCAGCACTTTGGGAGGCTGAGGCGGGTGGATCACGGTGAAATCCCATCTCTACTAAAAATACAAAAAAATTAGCCGGGCATGGTGGCTGGCGCCTGTAGTCCCAGCTACTTGGGAGGCTGAGGCAGAAGAATGGCGTGAACCCGGGAGGCAGAGCTTGCAGTGAGCAGAGATCACGCCACTGCACTCCAACCTGGGCGACAAAGCGAGACTCCGTCTCAAAAAAAAAAAAAAAAAACAATAAAAAAGAATACATATGTCTACACAAGACTTGTGCACAAATATTGATAGCAGGTTTAGTCCTACTAGTCAAACACCGGAAATAACTCAAATATCCACCAATGAAAAATTGATTTGAAAACTTGTAGCATATCCACATAGCTAAATATGACACTTCTATACAAAGGAAAAAAATGCTGATACATTCAGCAGCATGAACGAATCTCAAAATTATTTTGCTGAGCAAAAGAAGCGAGAAACAAAAGAAGACATGCTATGTATGAAGATATAGAACAAGTAAAACTAATATGTAATTCTATGCTGAATAAAATGATATCAGTGCCTTGGGTCAGAGTTGGGTAGAAGAATTGACTGGAAAAGAGCACAAGGAACTTCCAGGGGCAATCAGTGTTTTGTCTCTTGAATAGGGTGGTGAGACCAAGGCTGTACACACATATCTAAGTTCATTAAACTGCACATGTTGTGTGATATAATAAATTATAGCTCAGTAAATTTGTTTTATTAAAAATAGTGATATAACCTCTGTTATTTGGAAATATTGAGGTACATGACCAAATAATACAGATAAAAGAATTGAAGAGTTGGAGATTGGGAGTAGGATTTCAGATTTAGAGTAGATAATGGCATTTTTTGTTTGTTTGTTTTATGCCTTGTTAAATGACTTGGGTTTTAAAGTTATGTATAAATTAATTTACATACTTATACAACTGTAATTAAATAAATAACCTTCCTATTTTCTAAATCATATGAGTTGTGCTCCAATTACATCTCTTTTGTTAAGCTCTTTGATCTTGGAAAAGACATTTCACTTCAATACGCTTCTCTGTGAATATTCTTATTCACATTATCAGGAATAGAAATATCCGCTGCCTCATAAATAAGTTGTGAAGTCAAAAACTTATATTTTATGTTAAGCACTTAGTAAAATACCTGGCAAATACTAAATAATTTTTTTTTTCTTTTAGATGGGGTCTCTGTCACCCAGGCTGCATTGCAGTGCCACCATTTGGGCTCACTGCAACCTCTGCCTCCTAGGTTCAAGCAATTCTCATGTCTCAGCCTCCTGAGCAGCTGGAATTACAGGCATGTGCCACCATGCCCAGCTAATTTTTGTATTTTTAGTGCAGATGGGGTTTCACCATGTTGGCCAGGCTGGTCTTGAACTCCTGACCTCAAGTGATCCACCTGCCTCAACCTCCCAAAGTGCTGGGATTAAAGGTTTGAGCCACCATGCCCAGCCTAAGCTTATAGAAGATTTTAACCACTAATATTATTAAATATTTCTATCTTTCCCATTTCCATATCTCACAAATTCCTTTAACAACTACAACAGTCCTAATTTCTTTCTCCTTCCTCCTCATGCTTTTCCATATCTCTAGTATGGAATATTTTGACTATTCAGGGCAAGTCCAAAAAGTGGCCACATACATATTATCAGTGTAAAACAAAAGTATTTGTTTAACAACTATATCCAATTATTAGTCTCGATTTTTTTTTTTTTTTTTTGAGACAGGGTCTTGATCTATGGCCCAGGCTGGAGTGCAGTGGTGTGATCATGCATGACTGACTGCAGCCTCGACCTCCTGGGCTTAAGTGATCCTCCTGCCTCAACTACCCAAGTAGCTGGGGGCATCAGCTGCACATCACTATGCCCAGCTAATGTTTTTATTTTTGTAGAGACAGGGTCTCGTGATGTCGCCTAGTGTTGCCGAGGCTGATCTTGAATTCCTGGGCTCAAGTGATCCTCCCATCTTGGCCTCCCAAAGTGCTGGGATTACAGGTGTGAGCTACCACACCTGGCTTGATCCTTTTCTTTGGTCACATTATTAAAAATTGCAGGTAACTCCTTACTTTAATAAATCATTATATGAAAACTGTTTCTACCAGTGAGCCTTTCCTTGAATAAGACTGAATACATATTCCCTGAATACTGAGAAATTAGAATTTGTTTCCTATGTATAATAATTCACCAGGGTTTCATCTAAATTTTAGTACAAGGAGGAAAATGATAAACAGTGTCTCTTCTGTGAGGAAAGACAGGCTTTCTTTTATATAAAACTTGTGATATACACAATCCAAGATATCTAAAGATTTTAGAGGATTAGTCATTTTTTCACTATTTTAAAAATCATCTACATTGTCCAGTATGTATGTTAGATTGTGAAATACAGTGATGGGTAAGATACAGATGCTGTCTTGGAAGGCTGATAGGCTTCCAAGCCTATGCTAAATGCTATGAACAGAATAAATGCATAATGTTATGAGAGGTCATCATGTTATACCCTCAATAGGAGGGATGTTGAGACCGTATAGAGAGACACAAGGGGCTTTCCAGAAGAAATACCATCAAACAGAGGGTAGCAGAGTGGGTAGCAGGCAGGGATTTCCACACTGGCAATACTGCATACTAGCTGTGTTATCCTGTAAATCTAATAAGAGCACCTGTCTCATCATGTTTGTGATAATAAGATAGTGCCTAGCATATGGTAAATGTCAATAAAAATTTTTTCGCATTAGGAGTTATTTCTAACAGTTCTCGTTCAACTAACTGTTTATAAGTGAAACCAAAAATTGTTGCTATGCAAAAAAAGAAACTGTTTCACAGGACAGCGTTAACACAGGCCTGGAGACTTGCTTTTGCTTGGAAAGAACTACACAAACCTCATTGCCTGTACCTGTACTTTAGCTACAGTTACTTTATCACCTATTAAGACTACCTTTAACTTGCCACTTCAGTTTAAAGTGATGAATAATAAAATATGAAAATTTAAATAGTTACAAAATATAATAAAGCAATTTTAAAGATTAAAAGCATCTTTTTTTAAGTAAAAACAATTTGAATAATTTGTATTTAAAATCTATATCCTCCCAGAAAAAAAATTAACATAGATATTTCATGGCTATATTAGGCTCAAATTTATGATCAAATAATTACTGAGTTTTACAGGGCCTAAATTAATGCATTTCAGTGTGCTTAGTCAGCCTGAATGAATGTGTTCACCAAAGTCTTGACAAACTTGAATATCTTACTATTTATGGAGCTCTAGTCATATTAATTTTAAACATTATTTGAAGATGTTTTAAAATAATTATATATATTATCTGAATAATTTATATCAGAATATTTGAGATTTATTTCTCCTTGGAAAGGGATAGTTTTAAGTTCAATCATGTTTCTATTTTTTAAGTTTTATTGATGGCCGAAGACACTGATTTTTTTTCCATTGTCTATAACTTATGTAGTTATGTGCTTTATTACAAAATTTTTTTAATTTAGAAAATAAACAAGAAAATAGTAATCATGATATCCTGTCACCTAGATATAATTATAAACCTCTTTCCCAATGTTGAAGTACCCCAGGAGACAGTCCTTCCCTCCCTACAGGCTAAACATAGCAGTCATAAAAGGCCATAAAAGGTGATACTTATAAATCCAAGTCATATCTTATCACTCAGCTTCCATAAGACATATATATATTTTATATATGTACACACATACGTATACGTTTTTTGGGTCACCAAGTCCATATGTGCCTCTTTAACTTTTCTGAATATTGACAAAGTTTTCACAAGGAAACTTATATGAGACTCCCAGGGCTCTCAAGGTTGTCTAATGCTTAGTATTGACAAACATTTTCATTTTTTTGCAACATGATATTTTAATTTTTGGTTACCTGACTACAAGTGATGCTGAGCATCTGTTTACAAATGTATTGGTCATTCAGCCTTCTACTCCTAAAAACTGTATATCCTTTCCCATTTTTATTCCTTTGTCACTTTATTTCTGATTTATATGAGTTGTGTGTATTAAAACTGTCACACTAAATTTTGATTAGTTTTAGCAGTTACAGACATTTTTTTCCCAGTCCGAAACTTGTCTTTTCATTTTAATTAAGGTATCTTTTTTAATGTACAGAAGCTTTCTATTTTAATACCAGTTCTATTTGTGGAGTAACCGGCATCTTCTTCCACGATATCTGCTCATATATATTATAAACAGGTGACAAATAGGTATGTATGGTCAGTTTTCTCTGTTTTATTTTATCATATAACTTTAGTCACTCTGGTCTTATAGTTCAATATCTTGCACAGCATAATTTCAGTATACGTTTAAATATCTTGCACAAAATAATTGTTCTCCTCAATTCAAAACTTTATTAATGTCTATTGGCAAAGTTACAGACTTTTCTTCACTGTTCCTACATACTGTTAATCTTGTTCAATATGTTTTTTCTAGCTACCGTGAGATTTTTCCTAATCTTATTTCAAATTCATTATTATAGATATATAAAGAAGAATTGATTTTTCTCCGTTTTTCTACTGGTCATCTTACATAATTCTTATTATTTCTAATATTTTCCACTGATGTTCATAATTTAACACAAATGTCTACATTTTAAAATATTATCTTGTTTCAAATAACTATATAATTTTATTTTCTTGTTATATCACGATGACCAGATCTTTTAAACAAATAAAGGTGAACAAATAAAGGTGATCACAGATATCTTTTCTTTCTGACACTCTTAATATTTAATCATCTTAAAAACAACAAGGTAGATAAAATATATAAACAATCTCGCTGTAGTCTCATCTCAGTTTTGGGCAAATCACATTTATCATCAAATCACATTCCCTGGTTACTGAGACAATAAACTGGTTTCGTTTGTAAGTCAACCTCACTGAATATGTTCATAAAGCAAATAATTGAAAGGAAATGAGGCAAAAGCCAGAATTATTATAGTTTAAATCATTAGGCCCAAATAGTCTATATTGAAGCATGATATTTCCCTGACCCCTTCTCAGGACTCGTGACAAGAGTGCCCCATTTACTCATCCCGCTGCTCTCAACTCCTCACAGTAGGGAGTACACGAGTAAATGAGGCAGGAACTGGAGTACATGAGCTCTGGAACCAGTTAGCTGCTTCGGCACCGGCCGGAGCAAACTGCACTCACTCAGATTCGCTGCGTTCCACCCTTCGCGGGAGGTGAATGGGTGCTGGAGCCAGGGCCAGTGCTTTGAGGCGCCAGCAGGAGCAAACTCCATGCAGGCCCCACGGCACCATCTGGGAGGGTACCTGCCACCCATGAAGCCCCAGAGGGCATGTTACAGTTCTCTTTTAGCTCTGACATCTGCGAATGGCTTCAGTGTAAACAGCTCAGTGGGCCTTTTTGCATCTGCACTCTCGGCTCCCGAGCTCTTGTCCAGGGTCCAGAAAAAATGAAGTCACGTGAACGAATTGAAGGATGGTAAATGCGGGGGATTTTATTGCCAATGAAAGTGGCTCTCCGCAGAAAGAGGGACTGAATAAAGGACAAGGCGACAAGGTAATCTTCCCCTGAAATCCGGCCGTCTCCGGCCAGATTCTTCTCCGAAGTTACTCTGTCAAGCAGCTTCTTTCTGGTGTCTAGCCATGGTCCTTGATGTCCAGCCGCTTCTCCCCTCTGCTGGCTGAGTCTGTGGCCTTTATAGGTATAGGATGGGATGGCGCAGAGCTATGGGTGGTTTAGGAAAAGGCAACATTCAAGCTGGAAAGAGGGATATAAGTTCTCACTTAATGCCAGGGTCTCAGGCTTTTCGGCTTGAGGCTCGGGGCTTCATCAGGGAACCCGCCCTTTTCTGCATAGAATTTATCTGCCTCCTATCCCTATTAATATATTTCATGAGAATATATAAAGAGATAATTCACGGAAAAATTAAATATATTTAATCTCATAATAAAGAACTTTTAATGAAAAATAATAAAATATTTTTCTACATAAAACTAGCAAAGATAAAAAAATCGAATATTTTATGTTGGCAAGGGTACGATGAGATAGGTCTAGTGTACCATACTGTTAATAATAATTGGAACATAATTTTTGGAAATTCCTTTTAAAATCTGCATTTGGGTACAATTTTGCATAGTGTAGCTAGAGTAGGTAATAGACCTACTCTATTTCAGTAGAATTGGGCAATTGTGCGATTAGGAAAGTTTATCAATATAGCAATCCTTCAACCTCTGTCTTGCGGCAATTTCAAATTTCCACTTTCAAGCCCCAGTAGAGTTGCTCATGTTCTTCATGATCTCACCATGTGCTCAATTCTACCTCTTGATTTAAGTAATCTCTTTAGAAATAAGAATGTTTTAAACAATCACTCCTTTAGAGTAAACTTACTTGCAATAATATTTCAGTTTAAATATTATAAATGGGGTTACTTTTTTAAGCATTTAAATAATATGGGATGGTATTAATATTTGGAAATGATAAGGTCTTATGGCTAATATTTTGGGGATAAGAAGCCACATACTCATCTTGCTTCTACAGTTGAGCCTAAGACTAGAAACAGAATTTTTATTTACTCATTTATTTTTGTTGGCGGCCTTTTTTTCCTTTTATTATTTTTTTTTTAAGAAAATGACTATTGTTTTGGTAAAAATTCTTTTTCTGAGACTGAGTCTCACTCTGTCACCCAGGCTGGAGTGCAGTGGCACAATTTCGGCTCACTGCAACCTCTGCCTCCTGGGTTCAAGTTGATTCTCCTGCCTCAGCCTCCTGAGTAGCTGGGATTACAGGCATGTGCCACAACACCCAGCTAATTTTTGTATTTTTAGTAGAGACGGGGTTTCGCCATGTTGGCCAGGCTGGTCTCAAACTCCTGATCTCAAGTGATCTGCCTGCTCAGCCTCCCAAATGTTTTGGTAAAAATTCTATGCCTAGTCAGAGTACAGTGGTGGAATCTGGAGCCTGACCACCTGGGTTTAGCTTCTTTCTTGGCCATACATTGGCTGTGTGACAGTGGGCAAGCGGTTAAACCTTGAAACATAATTTTTAAATGAAACATTATTTCTATATGAATTTTTTTGTGTTTGTATGTGCCAGTTGGTCAAGAATTTAGTGTAAAATAAAAGGTGTTTCCTGCCACCTACTTCATTCCTTTTAAACTATTAACTCAAATCTCAAAGCCATAGATTTCATTGAAAGCATTTCCGTAAGGCAAGGTTCCCCAAACTGTGTTTTCTAGAACAACAACAAAATGTTACTGGGTATTTGTGGAGAAATGAAGTCAACTAAGTTTGGAAAAAGATAGGCTCAATGAAGCTACTTGTATTATATTTCATATGATGTAGTAAAACAATTTATATTAATGTGAAGATTTCACAAATGCAAAATGAAGTTTTTATCAAGATACTTGTATGTGGAACTTTATATACATATGTAGTTTACTGAAGGCAGCGTATGTGACACTTCCTTCAAGATGTCTTTGCAAGTGAGCTTACTCAGACCTTGATATTCCCATGAAATATCAGGAGGGTGATTTGAAGATAACTGCTGTGAACTTTCCATCTCCTCCTTTCTTTTCCCCAAGATATAAATTAGTAAAATAATTTCATAGCTCTCCATTGAAAAGTAGGGACTCCTGGTTAAGAAGTGAAACAGTTTCCTACCATTTAGAACTTCCCTTTTACTCTCATTTGACGATGTAGATACCCATTAAAAAAATAAATCCATGTCTCAGGGAATCCCTTCTCACAAAATAGCTTGGGAAGGCAGTGGTAATGATTTGTGAATGGAAAGGGAACTGTAAGGAAATAAGTTGAGACAATGCTTTAAGAATTTATTGCCAGGATAGTTTTCAAGAAACAGGAACTTCCTGTTAATTTTCTGGGATTCAACAAAATGGGCTTCTGACAACTGAAATAACATTAGACACATAATTAAGCTTTTAAACTTTGAGTGGGTTGCATTGTCCAATTATTTCCCCTGGCATTTCAAACTCACACACCATTGAACAAGCACAAATCCAAATGTTCAAAACAAATATGTGAGGGTGAATGAAACAGACGAGACAGGGTAATTCTTTACTCAGAGGTAAACTGACGATGATGCTTGTGAAGCAATGAGAATTAAATAGAATAGAAATTTAAAACATCAAGCATGCATGCCTGGAAACATAAATAAAATAATGAGACTGGAGTGCCCATAGTGTTCCCTACTATCAAGTGAGATCTCAACAAAAAGTAAAAGAATGAGATTTTTTAATGGACATTATTGAAACTGTAAGAAAAGTAAAGTAACTTTTCTTTCCTAATTTGGAAGTTCCAGTTACTACACTGAGAGCTGCTGTCAGAGTACTTCGTTGCTACCCTACCTATTGCTGATCCCTAGTTCCTGGCACATTGCCCAGAGTAGACTAACTTCTCAATTTACCTTGGGGGTGTAAATTAACCAACCATGAGGTATGGGATGAAAGAGTATCAGGACTCATTGGATCTTCTTAAACATGGACCTAAGGCTATCACTGAAGCAACCATGTGACCAATTGTAATATGTTTGTTAAAATGGATTGGGAGGAAAAAATCTCAGAGCAAATTAACACAACTTGGAAAACAGAGAAGAAAGAGGGAGGATGTAAACATGACTGTAAATGTACTAATTTGTTCATATTTCATAGTGAGTGTTCATTAGATATTACCTCATTTCTGAGGGTGATAGACTAAGAAATATAAATCTTACATTATTACTTAAGTTTATAACAATAACCTCTACTAGAATTAAAAACAGAACTACACCTTTTCCTAATTACTCAAAATAACTAAGCATAGATAATAATGTAAGAAACAAACCCTTATACACACAAAAATAACAAAAAATAAGATAGCAGAAGTGAAATGAAAATATTGTTTCAAAGATTGATCTAAATGTAATAAACTCACATATTAAATGGAATGGATAAAGAAATACAAGAAAGTCTCATTATAACTATATACTACAGATCTACCTAAAAGAAGACTCAGAATGATCCATGGTAATTGATAGGATAAGAGACCACCATCTTAACAAGAGCCCACCATCTTAAAGTATCAGGCTTTTATTTTTCAGAACTGTCCATTGCCACCTGATCAAATCACAAATGTCAACCCTGAGCATATCTTCAACATAACATAATGACCCTAATCACAACAAAGCTTACTGAAGTCCAGCCAACACTTTCCCAACCTCTCCTTGATAGGAACCTCTTTTAGAGCACACTTCCCCCACTGGGCCCTTTTTAAAAAGGATCAGACTGTAAGAGAAGTTTGCTCCTGACCCTGCCGGCCAGAAGCCCTTATCAGGTTTACTCTTAATAAACCTGTCTCAACTGTTGAGCCACCCTCTCATTTCATCTTCCTTCTTGTCTCTCCCTCTGTGCTAACAGTAATGAGGACTAAGCTCAGATATATATACATATTTATCTTGTCCAGATTCCTATCTAACTGGTCTGGGGAGTCATGCCCTACAAACCATAAGTTCTCATCAGATGGGTTTTATTTAACCCTGAATATTGTGACTTACTTTCCAATCTGACTCTGGCATAATGAGGAGGAAAATCAAAATGTTTTACCCCAAAACATGTTTCTCATCCATACTTAAAATTACCCTGCAAAGACTCTTATGGGAAAAATTCACGTTCTATAGAGAATCCCCTTTCCCCTGTGTTTTCTTTCCTTCCTTTCTGGATCCAAGAGATAATCACTTAAGAGCCAGGCATCCTTGTAAGTCTGATAAGAGATATTTTACAACTTGCTCTCTCTGAAGTCTGAGAGCTTCCTCTGCACAATAAAACTTGGTCTCCACAATCCTTTATCTTATCCTGAACATTTCCTTTCATCCCAGGTCTTCAAATAAACTCAACCAATTGTCAATCAAAAGATGTCTGAATTTACCTATAGCCTGGAACCCCCCGCTTCAATGTGTCCCGACTTTCTGAACCAAACTGATGTATTTCTTAAATGTATTTGATTGATGTCTCATGCCTCCCCAAAATATATAAAACCAAGCTGTACCCTGACGACCTTAGGCATATGTTCTCAGGATCTCCTAAGGGCTATGTCATGGCCACGGTCACTCATATTCGGCTGAGAATAAATCTCTTAAAATATTTTACAGAGTTTGGCTCTTTTCCTTAACAGTAATAAAATGATTAAATGTATTTTTTAAAAGTACAAAAAAAAAGAAAACAAAGGTTGCAATATAAATATTTGACAAAGATGGCTGTATATAAATGTGATAAAGTCCTTTTTAAGTAACTAGGAATATGATGCATAATGACAATCTCAGGAAACTGTATCCACCAAATTGCACTTTATTTAAATTGTTTAAGATGTAAGTAAAATTAAGCACTCCTTCCAATTCTTCTGCTCCCATCACCTTCCCCTAAACAATGAGGTAAAAATATCAGCTATAAACAATCTAAATAATTTAACTGTTAATGCTGAGGAAACAGTCTGTAGCTTTCAGTATATTATTAAAGTGCCCTAAAATAAGGTTAAAAATTACTGTTCTCAGACATCTTCTACTTTGTTCTGAGAGAGAGCACTAGTCTAGCCTTTCTTCCATAAACAGCAATAAAACTGTGCTATATATGAGATAAATGTTTTTATATATTTAACAATAAGCTGTACAGGACTATGATCCCTAAGCCCCATATTTCCTCTGCTCTCTGCATCTAGATAGTATATGCATCATGGCATAGGACTATGGAGCTCGTGTCCTGACAGGTTAAAGAGACAGAAATCACACCTTGGAGCTGATAAAATACCTAGATTCAGCAAAGCAGACACCAGTTAGAAAGTGGCAGCACAGGGGTGGAGGGGGACCAGAAGTCTGTTTGAGACTTCTCACAGTCCTTAGACAAGAGTTAGACTTGATGTGAACAAGACAAGACTACACAAGGTTTACTAGCAAGCAGCCACTATTAGGTTGAGTATAGAATGGGGATACTAAGGTAAGACAATGCCAGGGGATTTTTAAAGTCCTAGTCTACCCACCGGGGAAAGACTTTTAAAATTTCAAGCAGCCAGTTAAGATGCCAGAAAAGCCAAGATTTAGATTTAGGTGCTCCCAGAGTAAGGACTATTCCAGACCCACTATAACAAATTCTAAAACCAGGCTTGACAATGACTGCATTGAAGGCAGAGGTAAAAATCTGACCTGCCAAGTTATAAGGGCTTGGGATTTCCTTGAAATTTTTACAAATCATCTCTAACAAAACATTTTTTAAAAATCTAACTACATAAATAATTATAATAAAAGTGAATAAAAATATTTCAATGTCAGACATTATTAGAGTAGGTAAAAAAATCTAACTATAAAAACAAGATCGAACTATATGCTGTATATATGATACTCAGTTAAAATAATAAAGATGCAAAGGATGAAAATTCAAAAAAGTGGAAAAATAAATGCCATACATTACAAAAGCAAGTATGGCTGGCTATATTAATATAAAAATTGTAGAATTCAAAACAAAGTATATTACTAGAGACATTATATAATAACAAAAAAATTATTTATCAAGAAGACGTAACAGCCAAAATATGTACGTACCTGATGACAGATGATGAATTAGATGAAGTAAAATCTGACAGAACTAAAGGGAGAAATAGACAAATCCACAATCATACATTTTAACACCCCTCTCTCATAGAATAAACAAATGAAAAAAGAGTAAGTAAATGTATTACACTGGCAAGCAATACAGCTGTGATGGTTAATACTCAGTGTCAACTTGATTGAATTGAAGAATAAAGTATTGATCCTGGATATGTCTGTGAGGGTGTTGCCAAAGGAGATTAACATTTGAGTTAGTGGGCTTGGAAAGGCAGACCCACCCTTAATCTGGGTGGGCACAATCTAATCAGCTGCCAGTGTGGCTAGAATATAAGCAGGCAGAAAAATATGAAAAGAGATACTGGCCTAGCCTCCTAGCCTACATCTTCCTCCCATTCTGGATGCCCTCTGCCCTCAAACATCACACTCCAAGTTCTTCAGTTTTGGAACTCTGACTGGCTCTCCTTGCTCCTTAGCCTGCAGACAGCCTATTATGGGACCTTCTGATTGTGTGAGTTAATACTTAATAAACTCCATATATATATACACACACACACACGCACACACACATATGTATATGTGTATGTGTATATATATGTATATGTATATATGTATATGTACATATATTCCACTAATTCTGTCCCACTAGAGAACCCTAATACAACAACCTTAACCAATTTTGTAGAAAACTCTGGTACCCAAGAATTAATAATTTTTTTTTCCAAGTGCATATGGAATACTTTACAAGATAGACCATACTCTAGGCCTAAGTCTCTGGGAACTTCGAAAGATGAAAATCTTAGAGTATTTTATCTTACCCCAACAGAACTAAACTAGAAGTGAATGATAATAAAATACATAAAAACAAAAAAATCAAAATTAAATAACATAAATCTAAATAAGCTATGGGATGAAGAAGATATTACAAAGAAAATTTTAAAATATTTTGAAGTAAATGATAATAAAATCACATCCTGTTAAAATTTGAAGGATGAATACAGCTAAACCTATGTTTGAAATGAATTTTTTTACTTTTACAGTTATATTATAAAAGAACATTTGGCCGGGTTTGGTGGCTCACACCTGTAATCCCAGCACTTTGGGAGGCCGAGGCAGTCTGATCACTTGAGGTCAGGACTTCAAGACCACCCTGGACAATACGGTGAAACCCCGTTTCTACTAAAAATAAAAAAATAGCCAGGCTTGGTGATGCACGCCTGTAATCCTAGCTGCTCAGGAGGCTGAGGCAGGAGAATCACTTGAACCCAGGAAGCAGAGGTTGTAGTGAGCCAAGATTGCACCACCACACTCCAGCCTGGGCAATAGAGTGAGACCCTGTCTTAGAAAAAAAGAACATTTGAAGTTAATTATCAAGTTTTCCACTTTACAAAGTTAGAGTGGGGATAAAGCAAATTAAGCCATAAGTTATTGGAAGAAAGAAAATAAAAAAGATAATATCATGAATCAATTAAATTGAAACAGACTGATAATATGAAGATGAAAAGAGTTAAACATTAGTTATTTAAAAATAGTAATAAAGTTTATAATCTAGCAGGAATAATCAAGCATAAGAGGAAAGAAACACAGATTAGGAATAAATGAAAGAGGTGATATCACTACACATCTTAAATATATTACATAAGTAACAGTAAAATATTTTGAAAATATATATGCCAAAACATTCACTATCATAAATGAAATAAACAAATTCCTTGGAAAAATATGACTAGGCCAGAATCTATCAATGATAATTACTTCATAATCAGAAATCTTGTCACAAATAAAACTCAAGGCCAAATGGTTTTGCTAGTAAATTCTGTTAAAGATTTAAAGAAGAAATACCTTAATCTCACTCATAAATGAGGTTAATACGTTAAACCTCAGTTAAAGAATTTAAATTTTCAATTAAGAATTAAATTAAGCCTTTAACTTAAAGGTTTAACATTTTTAAAAGTGTTAAAATTAATAAAATCTTAGAACATAGGGAAATATTATCAAATCATTTTAAGAAGCCAGAATAACCATGATACCAAAACTAGACAAAAATATTGTAAGGAAAGAAAATTATCCTCTCCATGAACATGGTCTCAAAAACTCTCAGCAAACTATCATTATCAATTAGATAAATATGTAAAACGAATAACATACCTTGAGCAAGTGGAATTTATTCTGTGAAAACATGGTTATGTCAAAATTGGAATATCCAGCAATATAATTAACCACATAACAGAATAAATGTAAAAACACCGCATTATTTCAACATGTATGGAAAAAAACACTTAAAAAAATTCATTCATCATACATTTTTTTCAGAAAACTAGAAAAAATGTAGCTAGTATCATATGTAAAGCTGAGATATCACATATTTTTCCCTAAGAGGCAAGCCAAAGACATCTACTCTGTAACAAATGTTATATTGGAAGTCCCATTCAGTACAATAAAGGAAGAAAGAGAAGTTAAAACCATAAAAACTGGAAAATGAGAACTTTTATTCATAACAAAAACCATTTATTTAAACAAAATAATCATCTAAATAAAATTTCCTAAAGAATCTCAAAAAAAGCTACTAATATTTATAAGTGAATATAACAATGCCATAGGTTATGTAATCAATATAAAACATTAGTTGTGTTTTTACAGACTAGCAGCAAACAATTAGAAAATGTAACTAAATACCATTTTCAATAGTATCTTATATTTAAAATATTTATGTTAAAAAATTTTAACTAAAATCTATAAATCACTATACTGGAAAACAAAACAAAACAAAAGCTACTGTGAGAACTAAGGAACAGATAGGTGAAAGATATGTATTTAAAAGATACATAAAGTTTACGAATTTTTATGGTGTCTATTTTCTGCAAATTGATCTATAAATTCCATGTCACCTTGTTTAAAATCCCATTAGCTTTTTAAAATTGACAAAGTGATCTAAAATATGAAGGGGCTAAGATAGCAAAAAAATCTTGAACAAGAACAAAGTTGAAGAGCTTACATTGATTTCAAGACTTGGTATTCAAGATATCATGATATGGCTATAAGAAAAGACATAGTTCAATAGAACAGAGAGTTCAGATATAGACTCACATATATACAGTCAAACTACATTTTTTTACAAAGATGTTAAGGCAGCTCAACATTGGAAATTTAGTGTTTTCTCAACAAATGGTGCTGGAGAAATGGAAGTGTGACTAGAACAAAGTGAACCTCAATCCCTGCCCTACGTCAAACTCAAAAATTAATCTATAATAGACAGTAGATCACAATTTACACAACAGAACCACAAAACTTCTAGGTATAAACATTGGAGAAAATCATACCTTTGGTGTTAGGCAAATATTTCTTAGATTATACCTAAAGAAAAATATTAAGCATTAAAGAAAAAAGTGACAAGTTGGATTTCATCGAAATTAATAACTTCTGCTCTTTATGACATCAGGAAAATGAAAATAGAAACAGGTTATTTTTAGAATTTGATATATGTGTATCTGACAAAGAACTTGCATTCAGGATACATAAAGAACTCCTACAATGCAATGAGTTTGACAACTCTATTAAAACATGAAAAGAAGACTTGGATGGGCACTTCAAAAAAGAAGATACGCAAATCACTAATAAACACATAAAAAGATGTTTAACACCGTTAGTCAGAGAAGTGAAAATTGAAACCAAAATATTATACCCCGTCTTTATCTACACTATAATGGCTAATTAAAAAGACTAACTCCCAAGCATTGGTAGAGGATATGGAACAACTGAATCTCCCATATTTTGCCAGTAGGAATGTTAAAGGATGCAACCACTTTGAATAACAGCTTCCCAGTTTCTAATAAAGGTAGCCATATATTTACCATTTGGCAGAATTCACTCCTGGGTATTTACCCAAGAGAAAAAAAAAACTTACATCCACGCAGACTTACACACAAATGTTCATAGTAGTTTTAGTCATAATACACTAAAAGTAAAACAACAAAAATGTCCATCACCAGATAAATGGATAAACAAATTGTGGTATATTGAGATAATGAACTTAGCAATAAAAAGGAAAAAACTACAAATACACACAATAACATGGATGAACTTCAAAATTATGCTGAATGAGAAAGTAGACACAAGAGTACATACTGTATGATTCCATTCATGTGATGTTTTAGAAAAAAAGCAAAATTAATTTATAGTGATGGAAATCAGATCTTTGGTTGTCAGGGATGGAGTACAAGGTAATTTTTAGGGTGATATAAATATTCTATATTTTGATTAGGTTGGCGTATTAGTCCATTTTCACACTGCTATAAAGAAATACCTGAGACTGGGTAATTTATAAACAAAGGGAGTTTAATTAACTCACAGTTCTGCATGGCTGAGGAGGCCTCAGGAAACTTATAATCATGCTGGAAGGTGAAGGGGAAGCAGGCACCTTCTTCACAAGGCAGCAGGAGACAGAGAAAGTGCAGGAGAAACTGCCACTTTTAAATCCTTAGATCTCATGAGAACTCCCTCACTATCACGAGAACAGCATGGGGATAACCACCTCCATGACCCAATCACCTCCCACAAGGTCCCTACTTTGACACGTGGGGATTACAAATTGTGATGAGATTTGGGTGGGACACGGAGTCAAACCATATCAGATGGTATATTACCTTAGTTTATACATTTTTCAGAACTCATTGGGCTGTATAATTAAAACATGTACATTTTATTTTATGTGTATTATGCTTTTATAATACACATAAAATACACAAAGTTTATCTTTTAAAACTATTGTTCTTAGTGTGTGGAACTACATTAGAATCAAGGGAGATCTTGTTAAAAATATAGCTCCCTGGGTTCTTCGTCAGTCTTATCATTCCTTGGTGTAGGGGATAAGCCACATTTAAACATGTTCTTCAGGTGATTCACATGTACACTGAAGATTAAGGACCACCATTCCAGAGAGTTAAAGGATTTAAATATTAAAACAGCAACAAATTTCTGTATATAGAATGATGAAGTCATGAAGCAAAAATATTGGACTTTTAAATATCACATTATTTGGATATCAAAGTCTAATTTTAGGATATTACAAAAGTCATATTTTTAAGTATCTAAAGCAGAGGTATTTTACCTGAAATAAATCAGAGCTAAAGGAAAAAAGCTCTACACTTGAAATTGATAAAGCTGGAACTGAAAACTTACAATTTTCTCTTTACATAATAAGATAATTTTTGAACCACTCAAACAGTAGACACAACAGAATATTTGATATTAACTGAGTGAGGACATTTCTTATGATTTTATATATTTATATATTTTTTGGTTAAAATAGCTTCCTTGAGATACAGACAACAAATTATTGTATTAATATGAAAATTGTTTCTGTTCCTTTTTTGGTTTCTAAGGTAATTAAAACCAGCAAAGTGCAAGAGGATAATCTTCATTTTCATTCCATCGCACATTTCTACTATAAACTGATGTCTTGTCCAGTGGTGTCATTGAAATGGATGTTGGTAGATCCCATGAGATTCATGTAAATACATCCTTCTGATTTCACAAGAGGCTCTGGAATTAATGTGCTTGAATATCAGAAGAATATTCTTCCATTACTAATAAAAATAAATAATAGATATGAATTTAGAATTAGGTGTCATATTATGAAGTCAAAAAGCGTGGATAGGGTGGGCATCAGCAAGTACTGAGCATTTCTCTCCCAATATCTGGATAACAATGATGCCTCTGCTATAGATCAGTAGCTTTGTATTTTTTCTGGGATAACAGCATAGGGTTACTTTAAAAAAAAAAAAAAAGCTATTCTTGAGCCTTTTTTGGGAAACTCAGGTACATATAACTTTCATAGGTACCAAGGATGATAGGTACCTCTGAAGGATCATAGGAACCTAGGATGATAGGTACCATCCTATCATCTGTCTGACTGATGATAGGATGACAAATCGATTAGTTAAAAAGTAGAAGAATTTACTAAAATCTGTTTTTTTCTATAAGTGGATTGTTTATTATTATTATTTGAGTGATTGATTTTGTCTCATTTAGAGTTAACTTTCTCCTTTAATCAAAACCCTGACATCACCAGTGAGCTCTTTTTTTTCTAAGTCTTTCTTTTTATTAGCATTCTTTTTATTATATATATTTAAGGTGTACAACATGATGTTTTGATATACACAGTGAAGTAGGCACTATAGTCAAGCAAATTAACACCTCCATTACCTTGCATAGTTATCAATTCTTTTGTGATGAGTACCTAAAATCTATTATTTTAGCAAATTTTCAGTATTTATACAATATTGTTATCATAGTCCTCATGTTGTACATTAGAAGTCTAGACCTATTCATCCTACATATTTGCATCATATGCCCTTTGACCTATGTCTCCCCATTTCCCCCACCCCACTCTTAGTAATTTATTCTGTTTCTATGTGGTCAACTTAAAAAAATAGATTTCACATGTAAATGAGATGATGTATGATATGGTTTGGCTCTGTGTCCTCACCCAAATCTCATGTTGAATTATAAACCACAGTGTTAGAGAGGGGCCTGTTAGGAGGTGATTGGATCATGGTAGCAGATTCCTCCTTGCTGTTCTCATGATAGTGAGTAAGTTCTCAGGTGATCTGGTTGTTTAAAAGTGTGTGGCACCTCCCCCTTCTCTCTCTTCCTCCTGGCCAGCCACATAAGACATGCCTCCTTCTTCCTCACCCTCTACCATGGTTGTAAATTTCTTGAGGCCTCCCTAGCCATGTTTCCTGTACAGCCTGTGAAACTGCAAACCAATTAAACCTTTTTTCTTGATAAATTACCCAATCTCGGCAGTTCTTTATAGCAATGTGAGAACAGACTAACACAATGCAGTAGTTTTTTCTATGTCTGGCTTATTTCACTTAGCGTAATGCCTTCCAGTTTCATCCATGTTGTCACAAATGGCAGGATCCCTTTCTGTTTTAAGGTTGAACAGTATTATTTTATAACACACACACACACACATCACAATTTATCCTTTTATCAATCAACAGACACTTAGGTTGTTTCCATGTCTTAGCTACAGTGAATAATGCCACAATCAACATGCAAGTACAGATATCTCTACAAGGTGCTGATTTCATTTCCTTTGGCTATATACTCAGAAGATGGATTGCCGGGTCATATGGTAGTTCTATTTTTAATTTTTTGAGGAATCTCCTTACTGTTTTTCATAATTCCTACACCAATTTACATTTCTACCAACAATATAAAAGGGTTCTCTTCACATTATTGCCAACATTTGTTATTGCCTATCTTTTTGGTAATAGCCATCCTAACAGGTATGAGGTGATGTTTCCCTGTGGTTTTAATTTTCATTTTCCTGATGATTAGTGATGCTGAACACTTTTTAATATACTCCTTGTCTACTTTAATGTCTTTTTTGGAGAAATGTCTATTCAGATCCTTTTCCAAATTTTAAAAATCTAGTTATTTGTTATTTTGCTATATAATTATATGAGTTCTTTATATATTTTTAATATTAATCTCTTATCAGATAAGTGGTTTGCAAATATTTTCTTCCAACCTGTAGGCTCCATTTTCATTACATTGTTTCCTTTCTTTTGTAGAAGCTTTTAATTTGATATAGTCCCACTTGGTTTGGTTATCAGAGCTTTTAGTGTGGTATCCAAAAATTCATTGCCAAGTTCAAGGTCAAAAAGCTTTTCCCCTACATTTTCTTCAAGGGGTTTTGTAGTTTCAGGTCTTAGGTTTAGGTCTTTAGTCCATTTTGAGTTGATTTTTGTATGTGACATAAGATAAGAGTCTGATTTCATTCTTTTCAGATCCTTTTCCAAATCTTAAAAACCTAGTTATTTGTTATTTTGCTATATAATTATGAGTTCCTCATATATTTTTAATATTAATCCTTTATCAGATAAGTGGATATCTAGTTTCCTCAATACCATACAGATAAGCTTCTATACAAATATATAATTTACCAAAACCCAAACGAATAAACATATAGTTTAAGAAGTAATCCATGTACAAAATATTATTTGCTCTTATAATACATAATTGCTTTAAAAGTTGATTTACCTCAATGACCAGCTAACAATTTCCCTTGCTTTGACGTTGCCCTCTAGGGTCTATGGGACCCTTTAAAGCACAGGACTCACTGCCCCCTTTCTAACTTTACTACTCCCCGCTCTTTCTCGCTGGGCTGTAGCTATGTTGAAATGAACCACTGCTGTTCCAGGAATACCAGGTATGATCCCATCTTTGGGACACGGGGCTACTGTTTTCTCTGCTTACAACACTGTTTCCTCAGATATTGCAGAGTTAACTCCCTTACCTCTTTTGACATTTTGTCCAGCATTACCTTCTCAATAAGACCTGCCTCACAAACCCTATTTAGAACTATAATCTGTCCCTATCCTACTCCTTGCCCTCTCAATTCCTTTTACCTTGACCTAGTACTCAACATTAATTCCCTATATAATTTACTTAGGTATTAACTTTATTGATTACTGTCTTTTTCCCCTCTGCCCACCTGGAATGTAAGCTCTAGTAAGGCAGGCATTTTCATTTTATTGATAAATCCTCAGTGCCTGGAAGTAGAAGTGTGACTGACATATAGTTGGTAATAAACTTAATATGTATTTATTGAATGAATAAATTCTATGGAAGATTTACAATGATTAAATTGTCAGAATTTCTATATTCAAGACTTACAGGAACACAGCTACTGAATACCATAACAAATGCTATTTTGTGAAGTGTTTAAATTTTTAGGTTTCTGAAATATCCTTTCCATTTATAGATGTTTCATAAAGAAGATCTGAAGTTCCCACTCCAAAATTGGCCCTTTTGGTTAGTTAAGAAGATGAGGGTATTGTCTAACAAAGAGTTCTCACTGAATAATAATCTCTGGAATGGAGGGAAGGAAACTTCATAATGCTGTAAGAGATTATTTCATCTGATAAGCTACAATAATTATAACATTGTAAGACAGACTCAAAAGAAAAACTTAAAGCCATTTATCAATATTAGCTGAAGACACAATTATTATGAATACTTTGTATATGTTGATGAACACCTATTTATGTTGATCCAAATGGCCTTAACATTCCCCAGAGTTTGACTAAATTTTAGACAGGCTTCTTCCTGACTATAGGCCTCTGACCTCCCTTTTCTTAGAATATTTACTTCAGAAAACTTGTAAATTCTTTCTCTGTTCTTATGAAATGTAAATCTCTCAATCTCTTGCCAGTTCTGCAATACAGGAATGTTTTTCTCAAGGACCTGAGGGCTGTCCTTTTGAAATGGAGTTATCAAGAAATATAGGGCTCCTATTCTCTCCCTCACTAAGGGAGGGTAGGAGCCTAACTTCAATAAGTACCAGTAAGCAAGCACAGATGCCCACATTGACCAAGCTCCCCCTAAGACCCTCCAGGACTTCTTTTCTAGCTCATCCCAGTGTTGAAAACTCTCTCACCTTTTGTTACAGTAGAATTGAGTTCAATCTGTTTCCCTATTACAATACTCTTGAATAAAGTCTTCCTTTGCTTGTTTTACTTATCTCATGCAATTATTTTTTGACAATTCTTTCTTTGATTTTATATCTTTCCAATTTTTTGTTTAAATATTTATTATTTATTTTTGTTAGTAATGGATTAACAACTTCTGCTGTACATCAAATTATTTTATACTTAGTATATTAGTAACACAAATCTAACAAAATGCAACGTGTTTTTATGATCCTAAGTGATGAGATAGCGCACAGATGAGATTCACTCAGTTGTTAAGATTTGGTGTAAAATGTTCCCTGAATGAATGAATTCTAGTAGAAGAAAATTTGGGAGCCATTAGGTTCGGAGAGGCTATTTTGGAGCAGGAGGTTTTAGAGGTTAGAAAGGATGTTCCCAGTGTGACAGCACTGTTGAGTGCAGCATGGAATTGCAAGTTTAGTATTAAGTAAACTACAGAAATTTTTGCTACTGGATTGTAAAATAGAAACGAAATGCAATATGTTTCTATTCAGGAATGTTCTGACGGCTTCCATATTAAATAGAGCATAGGTGAGTAATAGAAAGCATAGGATTTCAAGTCAAAATAAACAGTTTGAATGTCAGCTTTGCCACTGACTAACTGAATAATTCTGAGGAAATTACTTAACTTCTTTGAATCTTTTTCCTTATCATTGAAATGGAGATAATAATAACCACCTCAGAAAGTTTTTGGGAGGACTAAATGCGGAAATGCAAGTGCCTGGATTAGAACAAGGCCCCAGTAAATGTAAATATTTACTCAGTTACTTTGATCCTAGTAAGATACAGGATTTAATTTCTACTCTCAAAGATCTTCCAGGTTTTCTGGGAAATAAATCAAATGAAAATATCAGGAATGCATTTGTGAATTCAATAAATTTTTATTGAGTACCTAATATTTTCCAGCCACTCTTCAAAGCTTGGGGAATATAGCAGTGATCCATGCAGACAAGATCCCTGTCCACACAGACAGACTTCACATTCTAGTGGGAGTAACAGACAACATACAAATGTAAAACGAAATGTTTAATTTCTGATAGTGGTAAATGGTATAAATAAAAATACATTAGGAAAATTACACAGATATTGGTAACAAGGGCCAAGGTAGGGAGACATTACTTAAATCATGTGTTCAAGGGGTGACCCTTTGAAGGCCATTTGAGGAGAGACCTGAACCAAGTGAGGGAACAAACTGTATAAAGGTCTACAGGGGAAGAGCATTCCATGAGAAAAAAATATTTAGGGTAAAGATCCTGAAGTAGAACAAACTTGGCATGTTGAAGAAATAGAAAGAAGCCAGTGGACAATGAGTGTGCTTTCTAAATTGGTAAGAAAGAAATCTTTAATTACATGAAACAACATTTATGAAATCATTGTCTAAAAGTAGTTGCACACAAAATACATTAGTTCAACATAAGCTTTTATGGGTAATTTTTGTGCTAGATCCTGGAAGTATATTTAAAATATATGAAATTGTCTTTGCTATCATAAAGTCTATGGTCTAGTATTACATTTTCATCATTATTAATCTTTATAGTTTATTTATGCTAAATTTTGACTACAATCTAGCCAAATCTAATAGCAGAGCTTGGAATGGGGCTTTACTGTATTTGATAGAAAAAAAAGAAAGTACAGACTGTGTAGTGCAATGCTCTTTTTGAGGTCATAGAATTATATACAGGTCTATAAGAGGACCTAAGACGTAATCATCGTTTTTAAGTTTCAAGTTTTTAAGACAAGCCTCCAAGTCAATTTTGAATATTTTACAATAAGGAAAAATGTTAGAAGTTAAATATGATTTACTAGGACTTATAAAAATCATGGCTGAATGGGGACTTAACTAAATGATAGCCTTCTCTTGTTTCTATACATTTATGTTTAGTTTTATAGAGTATTTTAAATATTTGTATGTACTTTGTATATAGTTGAGAATTGAATGAAAAAGATTTACAGAAAAAGGGAAATCAAGATTATTGAAAAAGTGGAATCAATAAGAAGAAAGTGAATATTAGTGTTAGCATAATTTACTAATTATTATATACATTTCATATAATAATTTAATACATGTGTGACTTAAGATAAGCCAGTAGAACCAAAAATACAGAAGAGTATTAAAGGCATATCTAAGGCCAGAAATCCTGCAGCTGCAAATGCTTAAAGAAACAATTTTGTAGACTGACAGATCTATAGGAGCATATCCAAGAATTCTTAATAGAGGTGATCATTCATTCAACAAACATTTATTGAGTAAGCAAGACAGTAGATGAAAATCTAAAATCTGTACAGCTCTCTACATAACACATTCACATATATCATTCCATTTAATACTTGTTTCAATCCTGTGAGGTGTGTATTCTTATGAGGAGATATTCCCCTATGATTTCTTCAAGGAGTTTTACAGTTTCAGGTCTTAGGTGAGAGCTTTGACCCACTTTAAGTTAATTTTTGTTATTTTGTGGTATAAGATATGAGTCTAATTTCACTATTTTGCCTGTGGACATTTAGATTTCCTAACACCAGACAGATAAACTCTTATATAAACATTAAATACCAAAACCAGAAATTCAAAAGACTTAACATAAATGACCTAGGTCATTTATTAGTAGGTAGAAATGCTGGATGTGAAACCCAGATTCTTCAGCAACACATTCCCTGACCTTTCCAGTACACGATGTTAACTTTCCTATTCGTCTTCACAAGGTCAATACTGTATAGGGCATTCTTCTTCCTATAACCTTAATTTTATTTGATTAAGAGTTATTTTTATCACCAAAAAAAAAGAAAAGGCTAAATATCTTATATAATGTTTTGGATCCAAGTGCCAAGTAGCATACATGTGGTGGAGGGAGAGAATGATATTGAAGAGAGGAGGGAAGTGGGAAAATTCATTTTAATATGTTGAACAGTAAAAGGGTAAAGCAAGAGAATGAGAGGAGGGGAAAAGTGGTAACAGGGCAACAAAAGACGTAGGCACATACTGTGGAAATTTCTTTTGTTTGCTGTATTTTGCAAGTAGCTTTGGTTATTTTAGTCTGTAAAAATATTACCCAGAGAAAAGCATGATAATCCCAGATATCTTACTGCATAACCAACATCAATTTCCCCTAAATTTTGCAGCATCATCTTCAATCCACTCCCATGGCTTTAGTTAACACATCTCAGCTGCTAACTTCATAATTTTGATCTCCAGATCCAACTTCTCTAAGAATACTATATCTCCAGGTGCCTACTGAAAAAAAAAATCAACTTGAACAATTCTTTAAATTCAGCAAGTCCAAAATCAAATTTATGATCTCTGAGAAAATGTCTTATTTCTCTTCCTGTTTCCTTCTATATCTTTCACTTCTCTAAGACAAGGACAGCTACTTTTTTTTTTTTTTTTTTTTTTTGAGACAGAGTCTTGCTCTGTCACACAGGCTGGAGTGCAATGGCATGATCTAGGCTTACTGCAATCTCTGCCTCCTGGGTTCAAGCAATTCACCTGCCTCAGCCTCCCAAATAGCTGGGATTACATGTGACTGTCACTATGCCCAGCTAATTTTTTGTATGTTTAGTAGAGACGAGGTTTTGCCATGATGGCCAGGCCAGTCTCGAACTCCTGACCTCAGGTGATCCACCTGCCTCGGCCTCCCAAAGTGCAGGAATTACAGGCATGAACCACCGCGCCCGGCCAAGGACGGCTATCTTTCTACCTGAGACTTGCAAACCCAGACTCTGTGCAGCTCAGCATTTTCCTCATCCCTACATCCATTCACTAATCCTATTCTTAAGTTTCGTGAAATGTTCATAAATCTATTCTTCATTGGCCTTCTCCATCCTCATTGACCTGGTAATTTCCTCATTATTTCCTGGATTTCCTGAATGACCATAAGAGCCTCTTAATTTTTCTTTCTGCCTCTATCCCAGTCTTCACACTGTCGGTAGAGGCAACTGTTTAAAACACAAATGTAATCATGTAATTTTCTTGAAAGAAATTCTTATGATACCCCCCACTTCCCACAAGATAAAGCGTGGTTTCTAATTTTTTAGCATGGTTTCTAACGCCCTGAGCAAGTTACACTCAACCTTTTTTATACCATCCAAGGCCCCTTCTACTCATAGCCAAACCAAATTTACTTTTTTGCTTAAAAGTCAAAATGTCTTTGTCTGAATCTTAACTCTACCAAAGCAGAACTGTTGGTTTCCATGTCATCCTCCAATTCTCTTTCCTGTCCTCTTTTATATTTTTTTTCCATTTTGATAAATGTCACTTTTTAAAACTAATGGAATTAGGTTCCAAAATCTACAAGTCATCCTTAATTTCTCTCTTTTTTCCAGTCCTTATATGAAAATATATCACTAGTTCCTGTCAACTGTTCTTCCAAAATATAATCCCACAATCTGACTGCTACTCACAACACTCTTATAACCTCCCTGGTCTATCTTTCTCCTGGATAATTGATTGCAACAGGCACCTACTTGCTCCCCATGAATCTGTTCCTGCCTCTCTGTAGCCTATTCTTTGCAGAATAGAATGATCATTCAAAAATACAAATACCTGATTTTTCCCATTCTTGAACTTTTTCAGAGCCTTCTGATCATCATTAGAATAACATCTACACTCTTCACTGTGATCTATAAGATGTAAATGACTGGCCCCAGACTACTCACCAAATGCTGCCACTTCCTTCCATGTATTCCTCATGTACCGATGGCTGCACTTTCTGTCCTGTGGATTTGCCAGGGATATTCTCGCCACAGAGCTTTGCAGTTGCTGTTCCTCCAGTTGGAAATGATTTGATCTCAGATCTTCTCATGCTAATACAGATCTCAACTCACATGACACCCCTTAGACAGCCTTTCCCTGATCACATCTAAAGCTGCCTTCATGGCATGACCTCATTTTTTTTTTCTTCAAAACAAAAGATCATTTTTCATGATGCTGCTTCTCTCTTCACTCTCTCTCTTTTTTCTTTTAAACACTTATCGAGGTCTGGAGTTGTCTTATTTATGTTCATTGTTGGTCTCCTCTCCCATTTTCCCTTATGACTTAGAAGGTACGCTTTCTAAGGGCAATAACTCTATTTACTTTGCCTACTGCTATATCTACAGTGCCTAGAAGTGTCTCAAACATAATAGGTGACCAAGAGATATTTTCAGATTGTCTGACTGACTGACCCAGAAATATACAGACAACTACTTTTGAAGCACAAATCCATGCTATCTGAGAGTCATAATGAATTGGCAAGCTGCTTCATAACATGTCACTTTCTCACTTATCACATCACCTTTCATGCTAAGTAATAAAATGTTTTTAAGGTATAATGGGGAAATGTACAAGCTTGGGTATCAGGAAGACTTAGGTTTGAATTCTAGCTCTGCATTGACTCAGTTACATCATTTAGAAAATAAAGAAATGTTTCCTTCTTTTCACAGTTATTCAGATCATGTGTGATACATATTTACATTATAAAAATTTCCTCCCTCCTTCCTTCCCCCCGGTCTCTTTCTTTTTTCCCACTTCCTTCTCCTCTTCCTATATGATTTAGAACGTGTTTTTGCAAAGGAAGGTGTAAAAGAAGAAGAAGAAAGAGGAACATATCCACATATTAATTTTAAAATGTCTCCTTGTACAGCTTAAAAATCACACTGTCTGGTTTGGAAAGTGATCTTAGGGTTCATCTAGTCTCCTCTATGATGTTTCAATATCCTCTATAATTTCCCAGCACAGTTATTGTCCAGCTTATGCTTAAACAGCTCTCGCAAGGAAAATTCTACCCCTAATACTATCTAGCCACCAAAAAGTATTATAAATTATGTATCAGACCATGTACAATTGTAGCATCAGCTAATATTAAAAATAGTTTTCAAAGTACAGAAAATTCATTAAATTAGTGAGTCCCTTTAAAAGGAAAACTTCAAGTATTTTGCAATTTATCAAGACCTCTAAGGTTGTATTTTTACTGATATTTTTAAAATAAATTCTGATAACATCAAACCTATAAAACGTTCATCACAGACCAAATACCTCCCTAACCTTTTAAGCTTTCACAGTAAAAACTGTCTTTTTTATTTATATAAGTTTGAGAAATATACAAATGTAATCATAACCCCCAAAGCAAAATTTTATGGCAATTTTCAGAACTCTTCACTATAAAAACTACTCAAACCTACAAACATAAAAGTTTCCAATAAAATTTGTTTTAGATACTGGCAATAAAACACTCTTTGCTTGCCTCTTAACTCCAAATTTTGGAGCCACAGCTGTCCAAATGCCAAAGATATATTCTACCTCTCCCAGATACACATACACCAAACTTTTAATCTCTCCCAAATGAAAACACCAACTATTATTAGTTATTAAACATCACTAATATTTCATACTTAGCAAATGTGTATTAATGGAAATAAAAGCAAAAATAGGTCCTAGTAAAGAAATCACAATGAAAATGATACATAAATCACTAATGTATCTTTAAGCAACTACATTTTACTTTTAAAATAATGTCCTCATGCTTTCACCCAAAAATGTTTGTGATTTTGAACCCTGAGTACATTTCATAATTAAAATGTAAATAATAAGGGACAAAAATGTGCATGTAAACATTGAAGTGATTCATATTGGAAGGTCTTCTGAAATTATGTGTATGTGCTACATTAAGGGCATTTGGAAAGCTGATTTCCCTCCCATTCTGGTCCTACCAATACTACTGGAAGGTACTACCAGTGGTTTCAGCACCCAGAAAACACCCAGCAGCCTCCTAGCTCTGGACTCTTCCAACTTACCAGCATGGTCATTTCAGCCCTCAGGTCTTGAAGTCATTTGATTTTATCCATTGCTCTGATCTCTATTTCTTTAAGAGATCACACAAAATATAAACCAGGCCCTTTTCTATAACATCAGCATATTGTGCACTGTGGATGGAGCTAGGTGGTATATTGAAAATGCCCTGCACTCAATCCATTCCTTACATAGATGTTGTTCTTTTGTTTTAGGGAAGGAATGTTGTATGGAGACATGCACAGACTTTGGCACTCAGCCCTGCCACTTTCTAATTGTATTAGCTTGGCAAGTTAACCTTTACCAAGTGACAATTTTTCTCATTTATAAAACTGTGAGTAGTTTCCTTCTCTTTGTCTTATTCCTGACCCTATGGTGTCATTGCTAATCTTTCATGAAACTCTTTCAACGATATACTTGGTCTCTCTTTAAGTATACTCTCCATCATAATTCAGATTCAGCAAAGCAAACCCTGAGACAAAGATTCCTGTACAAGTGACTCACTAGGGAAAAACTACTAGGAGAGACCTGCAAGGAGATGTGGGAAACAGGCAAGGAGAGAGAAGAAGGCAACCAAGGGTCCACTTTCAAGCAATGAATTGGCCTCACCTGATGTCACAGAGTTTGGGAGCATAAATTACACATATAAGTTTGTCCCCATCATAAGGTTGCCCAATGAAGTACAAGACATCCAATTAAATCTGAATTTCAGATCAACCATTAATTCTAGCAAAAGTATGTTTCGAGTATTGCATGCAACAAACTTTTACTAAAAAAAGTATTTGCCATTTACCTGAAATTCAAATTTAACTTGCCATCCTGTGTTTTGATTAGTAAATCTGGGAACCCTAAGGGTTGCTGGGCTTTCACACTTAGGGCTGTGAAGGTGGGGAGATGGGCACTGGGACATGGGCAATTAAGGTTCATAAAAATGGTAAGAGAGATTGAGTGGGATCTGAGTGGAGCACAAACAGTGTCTGTTAGTGTCTTCTATTTCCTCATTTTCTTCAGAAGAAACTCCTTCCACCTCCTTTCCATTTTGGAAACTTGGCCCATCTCCAAAGAAAGCACACTTCTCTTCAGTGGAGCCTACTTTTTCTCTGTGACAAAAATGGCTCTCTACAGTTCTTCACTGTGGAAAGATTTATGGCTTCCAGATTACAAGTTCATTGCTCTAACTCACTAGAGGTGAAGTCTTTCTTCTTTGAGCTCTGCCTATTATTGCCTTCTATCCCCTTGCAGTTTTACCTACATCCAAGGGACTTAACTAATTCACTGATAACAGTGGCATTCAGGTCACAGGTTTACTTGAGCCCCAATTTCTGCCACAATCTTAGTTACAATTTTGTCAGTTAAGTAGATTTGAAGTTCCATGATCACTTCTCCATTTCCACAGCATGTCTTTGTAATTTCACTCTTATCTAATCATCATTGGGAATTGCCCCATCCCTGAAAGCTTCATTAGCCACCTTAAAAATACTGTTGTTTATTCAGTTTTCACTCCCTTACTCCTACTGTATTAGGCCTTAGACTTAATGGAGACCTTTCCTAATCCATTGACTCCTCCTGAATTACTTTCTTCTCTCATCACCCACACATTTCAGTCTTTCCTCAATATTTATAGACCTTCTCAATAGCCTCATCCACTTTGCATTCTGCTACACACACCCTGAAAGACTTCAAACCCCGTCAATGCAAACACCTCTCCTCTCCATCCTTCCAGAATTTAGCTGAGAGATTACCAGGATATCATGTGTATTGGGAGAGCAAAACTTTCACTAATAATGACAGGAAAAAAAATGTAAATCTTACTGAAATTGACTACATTATATATTGCTACAACATAGCATTTCCAGTGATTGGCATTTGAAGTACAAAGATACTGTGATACATTGCAATTTTTCTTTAGGGGTCATGTGACATTTAAGATGAAAAATATGAGATTGAGTAGAATAGAAGCATGAGTCTCTATACCTAGTAATTTATGTCATAATATAATTTGAAAACACTGTGTTAAAAAATGCCAAATCTATGTTAAGAATTATACATTAAAAATATACATGGGAAAAATATAACTAATAATATTGCTTTAAAATTAGGCTTGAATTTGACCCCTTTTTTCAATAACATTTGATTACATTTACTTATTTTGTAGTCTGAAAGGATAAAAGAGGCAGAAGAAATAAAGATAAAAAAAGAAAGCAAAATCAGAGGGGCAGAGCAAAATGGTAGGATGGGACTCTCCACAGAGACATCAATTTGAAAAATTATCCATGCACTAAAATACTTTTTCACAAGAGCTAAGGAAATCAGGTGAGAGATTATAGTAAGTGTTTGCAGCACAATAAGAAAAGAAATATTGAAGAGAGTAGGAGTGATAGTCTTATATTACCCACATTGCCCATCTCCCAATCCTAGGCAGCAAAGTCCAGCAACAAATACTGTCCATGTCAGGAAAGAGAGGAAAGTGAGCACAGTACCTTGCCTGTGCCCTAACACTAGGTTGGCCACTGCAAAACCCAACAACAGGTAGGCCCCACAGTACCAGAATCCAGGCCAGTACCCACAGGCTGAGCCTCCAGACATGCCCTCATGCTAGGTAGGACCCCTCCAGCCTCAGGCTTCAGGCCTGTGAGGTAGACTCAATCTCCAGTATGCCCTTAATGGTGACAGGAAGTGGACAGCTCTCAGTGCTTGGCAGGCCTTGGTCGCCTTGAGCTTCCAGCTCACCCCAGTGACATGCATGCTGGCCACAGTGGACTCTGACTTTGGGTGTAACCCAACCCCTTGCTGGCCACAGCAGCCCAAGGCTTTGGGCCTACCCCGCCACTTCACTGTCCTTCAAAAGTGAATGAGAGATAAAGACTTTCTCAAACAGAAGCTGAGGGAGTTTATCACCACCAAACCTATCTTGCAAGAAATGCTGAAAGGGAGCTTAAGATGAAAGAAATGGACACTAATAAGTAACAGGAAAACTTGCTTTTATCTTTTCAGATAAAAAAATAAAAATCTGAAATGATAAAAATCTCTGGTAAAAGTAAACACACAGTCAAATTAATAATGCTCTTCATACTGTAATGTTGGTGTTTAAATCACTATATCTTTAGCATGAAGCTTAAAAGACAAAACTACTAAAATAATAATTGCTACAATACTTTTTAAGGACTCTACAATATAAAAAGATATAAATTGGGATATCAAAAATGTAAAATGTTGGGAAGGTAGTGGAGTAAAACTGTAGAGTTTTTTGTTGTTGTTGAGATAAATTTAAGTTGTTATACATTTAAAATAACCTGTTATGACTATAAGATGTTTTTGTAAGCCTCATGAAAGCCACAAACCAAAAATGTACAGTATATACACAAAAAACAAAAAGTCAAACATAAAACTAGAGGAAATTGCTTAGCTACAAAGGAAGATAACAAGAAAGATAGAAAAGAACAAAGATCTACAAAACAACTAGAAGTCAATTAACACAATGGTAGCAATAAGTCCTTACTTATCAATAATTACAATGAATGTAAATTGTTAACCCAAATCAAAAGACACAGAGTGGCTAAATGGCCTTTTTAAAGGACTCAAATGTATGCTACCTATAAGAGACTCAATTCACCTGGAAGAACACCCATGGATGAAGGGATGGAAAAAGATATTCCATGCAAATGGAAGCTAAAAGAAAGCAGGAGTATCAGATAAAATAGACCTTAGGTCAAAATCTGTAGAAACAGGCAAAGAATGTTACTGTAAAATAATAAGGGGGTAAATTTAGCAACCGGATCTAACAATTGTAAATATATATGCACTCAACATTAGAGTATCTAAATATATAAACCAAATATTCATAGATCTAAAGGAAAAGACTACAGTAAAATAAGCATAGGAGATTTCAATGCTCTTCTTCCATCAATGACAGATCATCCACACAGAAAATGGATAAAGAAACATGGATCTCAAACTACACTTTAGATCAAACGGACCTAACACACATATACAGAACATTCCAAACAAAGGCTGAAGAATGCATATTCTTCTCAACTGCACATGGAACATTATTCACAGTGGATCTACATTAGACCACAAAAAAAGTCTTAACAAATTTAAGAATATTAAAATAATATCAAGTATCTTTTCTGACCACAATGATATGAAACTAAAAATAAGTAACACAAAGGACTTCAGGAGGTTCACAAATACAAGGAAGTTAAATAACCATGCTCTTGGACAACCAATCGATCAATGAAGAAATTAAAAGGGAAATTTAAAAATACCTAAAGACAAAAATGGAAACACAATATAGTAAAACTTATGGGTTACAGTAAAAGAACTTATAAGAGGCACATTTATAGCAATAAATACAGAAAGAAAAAGAAAAAAGAAAGAAAGAAAGATCTCAAATAAACAAGCTAACACTGCACCTCAAGGAACTAGAAAAATAAGAATAAATTAGGCCCAATGATAGTAGAAATAATATAAAAATAAAAATCAGGGCAGAAATAAATGAAATAGAGATTAGAAAAAAAACAAAACAAAAGGTCAGCAAAACTAAGGGTTGGGTTTTTAAACACAAAATTTATGAATCATTAGCTATGTTAACTAAGAAAAAAAAGGTAAGACTCAAATAAATAAAACCAGAAATAGAAAAGGAGATATCACAACTGATATAACACAAATACAAAAGATCATAAGAGACTAGACTATTATGAACAATTATATGCCAATAAATTTGATAACCTAGAAGAAATGGATAAATTCCTTGAAACATAAAAGTTATCAAGATTAAATTATAAAGAAATAAACAATTGAAACAGACCAATAGTAAGAAGATTGACTCAGTAATAAAGGTTTCCATCAAAGAAAAGCCTAGGACTTAATAGTTTTACTGCTGAGTTCTACCAAACAATTAAAGAAAAACTGATACTAATTCTTTTCAAACTAGCCCCCAAAAAATTAAAGAGGACAGAACACTTCCAAACTCATTCTCTGAGGCCAGCATCACCCTGATACCAACACCAAACAAGGACACTGCAAAAAAAGAAAACTGTCAGCCAATATTCCTGTTGGACATAGATGCAAAAATTCTGAACAAATTACTAGCAAACCAAATCCAATGGCACATTAAAAATATCATTCTACATGATCAAGTGGGATTCATCGTATGTAAATCAATAAATGTAATATATCACATTAGCACAATGCAAGAAAGACTAATATGATCATTTCAATAGATGGAGAAAAACCATTTGACAAAATTCTACATCCTTTCATAATGAAAACCATCAGCAAATTAGGTTTAGAAAGTATGTACCTCATAAAGGCCATATATTACAAACTCAGCACTACCATACCCAACAAGGAAAAATTGAAAGCTTTTTCTCTAACCTCTGGAAGAAGGTAAATATGCCCACTCTCACTACTTCAATTTAAAATAGTACTGGAAGACCTAGCCAGAGCAATTAGGAAAAAGAAAAGAATGAGAGGCATACAAATAAGAAATAAAGATGTTAAATTGCCCCTGTTTGAAGATGACTTGATTTTATACTTAGAAAACCCTAAACACTTCACCAAATAACTGTTAGAACTAATAAATGAATTTGGTAAAGCTGCAGGACACAAAATCAAGATACAAAAGTTAGTAATGTTTCTGTACATTAACAACAAACTACCTGTAAAAGGAATCAAGAAAAAAGAACATTTATAACAGCTATCAAAAGTTTTTTTAAATACTGAGGAATAAATTTAACCAATGAGGTGAAAGTTCTCTACACTAAAAACTATAAAACCTTGATGAAAGAAATTGAAAAAGACAAATAAGTGGGAAGACATCTGATGTTCACAGATTGAAATAATTAATATTGATGCTGGGTGCAGTGGCTCAAGCCTGTAAATCCCAGCACTTTGGAAGGCCAAGGTGAGCAGATCACTTGAGGCCAGAAGTTGGAGACCATTTTCGCAAACATGGCAAAAACCCGTCTCTACTAAAAATACAAAAATTAGCCAGGCATGTTGGTGCGTGCCTATAATCCCAGCTACTTGGAAGGCTGAGGCACGAAAATTGCTTGAACTTAGGAGGCAGAGGTTACAGTGAGCCAAGATGGTGCCACTGCACTCCAGCCTGGGCAACAGAGTGAGACTCTGTCTCCAAAAAACAACAAAAACAACAACAAAAATTAATATTTTTTAAATGCCCTCACTACCTAGAGAAATCTAGAGATTCAATGTAATCTTTATCAAAGTAACAATGACATTCTTCACAGAAATAGAAAAAAATCCTAAAATTTGTATGGAACAATAAAAAGCCTCAAACAGACCCCCAAAAATTGATAGAAAAGAATAAATCTTTAGTCATCACACTACCTGACTTTAAAATATACTACAAAGCTATAGTAGCTATAGCAGACACAACAGCATGCTACTGGCATAAAAAGAGACAGACACATAGACCAATAGACTAGAACAGAGAATCAAGAAGCAAGAAAATGAATAACCCAATTGGAAAATAGGCAGATAACTTGAATAGCCATTCTTCAAAGAAGACATAAAAATTACCAATAGGTATTTGAAAAATTCTCAACATTACTAATCAGCAGAGAAATGCAAATTAGAACTAGAATGAAATCACCTCACACTACTTAGAATTTGGTATTATCCAAAAGACAAAAGATAACAAATGTTACAGAGTATGTGGAGAAAGCGGATTCCTTGAACACTGTTGATAAGAATGCAAATTAGTACAGCCATTATGGAAAGCAGTATGCAGGATCCTCAAAAAATTAAAAATAGTACTACCTTATAATTCTGTGATCCCACTTCTGGGTATATATCTGTAGGAAATGAAATCAATATCTCAAAGAAATACTGTGCTGCCATGTTTATTGTAGCATTATTCACAATAGCTAAGATATAGATTATATCTAAGTGTCCATCAACAAACTAATGGAAAAAGAAAATGTGGTGTATGGAATGGAATACTATTCAGCCATACAAAATAAGGAAATCCTCCTATTTGTGAAAACAGTGATGAACCTGGAACACATTATGTTATATGGAATAAAGCAGACACAGGAAAATAAGTATTATATGAACTCATTCATATATGGAATCTAAAAAAGCAGATCTCGTAGAACTAGAGAATACAATGGTGGTTACCAGGGCCTGGGGCTATTGGAAGCGGGAGGAGGCTTGGTGTTTACCAAAGGCTACAAAATTTCAGTTAAATAGGAGGAATAAGTTCAAGAGATCTATTGCAAAATATAGTAATTACAACCAATAACAATATATTATATTCTTGAAAAATGCTAAGAAAATGGATAAATATCATCACAAATATAATAACTATGTGAGGTAATGAATACACTAATCAGCTACATTAATTCATTCCACAATGTTTATTGCTTCAAAACACCATGATGTACACAGTAAAAACATTCAATTTTATCTGTCAATTAAAAAACAAATAAATTAATAAAGAAAAATAGCAATTATCACTCACAAGTTGTTGGATGACATATATTAGTACATAAATGCAAAAATTAAGATGAAACAGAGAAATTGTTATACATACACATAAACACAATGTTGACAAATTTATAAAGTTTATATTATTTTCTTGGAATTAAAAAGTTGAGGAGCAACTTTAAAACACTAAAAATTTTGAAGTTCAATCTTTCAAAATTAAATATAAATTCTGCTTACTTCAAAACAACTCTAGCAAGATGTTTTGCAGCAGCTTAATTCATTACGCTATCAGTGTTCAGAAACAAAAATGACTAAAAGCTGGAAACTACACAGAGCATCCCCCTGACTTCAAGTAATGAAATTGAAGTAAAGGTTAATGATATTTTAAAAGTTTTTTTCTTCTTTCTTGCATTATTTTACTGTCTTAGTCATTTAGTATTTAGTATTCATGAAGGTGTGTGAACATTAATTTTGGTTTTTATATACTTGCCTCAGACATACTTAAACTGAAATAGTTTGATTACCACCTGAAGTAGAAGGTAATAAATCATATTGCTTCTCCTTTTAGTACAACTTGATTTTACCAATCTTTAGCCTTAAGTTTTATTTGCTGGACTTTAATAGCCCCAAATGTGCACATATGTGTAATAGATTCCTTCAGCCTGGGTCCTGAGTCCCAGTGTAAGTTGTTGGGTGAGGTGAGGTAGTCTAATATGACTACAGTAATAGCAAAACTATTACTATAAGTAGCTGAAATGAAGTGGCCCAAAGAATGGGTTCCAGATTCATAATAATTAGTTGGTTTCTCTTTGGATCTAAGCCTGAGTCTAAAATTTCAGATCCAAGCAGTCTCTCAGAACTGCAAGAGACAAAAACTCAAAAACATATCTTCTATAAATAAACTTTTAGGAACTTAGAGCATCTTAAAGCAACACATTGTAGAGAGATTCACCTGACATCTCCACCCACAACATAAACACACACACATAGACAGAAAGACATAAAAATATTAAATGAGTTGGGCACTACTGAGATAGACATGTCTTTGGACTCATTATCTAATATAGAATACTTATGCCAGTCTTAACAAGCAAAAAGTTCTGCAGATTAAAAAAATGTTTCTAAATGACTAAATGTACCTTCCCAGTTGATGCCCATAAAATATCATCTGAAAATCTCTACTTAATTTGAAGGTGATGTTGGAACGATCTACCTTTACCATTTAAGGTTTTCATTCGTTTATTTGTTCATTTATTCAACAAGTGTTGATTGAATGTTTACCATGTTTCAAGCACTCTACTGAGTACTGAAAAGAATAGAACTGTGCCAGAAATAAATGTTGTTTTAGCACCCTGGGAACATAAGTATTAATATGATGAGTGTTAAGATCCAGGCAATATGCAACACATGTGGCCAGAGAGCTTTCCATGTATGAGTCAGGAAAGACATCTTTGACCAAGTGGCTTTTCAGAAAAGACCTTATTTGAGTGGCCAGGAGTTGTTGAGGAAGGGCAGAGGGAATCCAAAAGATAGAATAGCTCTTTTCTCTCGAAAGGACTAACTCTGTATTTAGCCTTCATTTTCACTTGTTCTGATACATTCACAATGATTACAAATAAAGGTATAAAAAAGAAAATATGAGGGAAAGGTGAAAGCTGGCATTCTTTTTGGTCTCCTTGCTATTTAAAGGGCTCATTCCTGTCGGTTTGACTTTAAACAGATGGCATGTAGTAACGACTTAATGAGATAAATGCTCCTCCCCAGGTTAGGATTTGTGGCTGGGCCTTTCTCTTAGAAAAAGTATTTACCAAAGAATAAAATCAATTTCTTATATATTAGCATTTCTTAAACTCATAACATTTTATATATCTATGATTCAATATTAGCATTTATGATCTGCGATATGGTTATGCTATCAATTCATTTAGTACTTTACTTCTTCTGGTTTATCTAAAGCAGCACTACTGTATAATTGCTTTTGTGCTTTCCCATTTGCTTTTTTCTTGTAAAAGAAAAAAGAATGAGAATATTAACAAGCCAGCTGTTAGCACTTCTTTGATATTTCCCTATGGTCTGCTCCATTAGAGGGGGCTAAGTTCTTAATAACCATTGGATTTGTTAATTATTGGTAAACAGTGGTCTACGAATTTGGATAATGGATTCATTTGATGCATTTATTTTTACCAAGGCAATTTGGGGTTCTCTTGTCTTTAATAGGTTTGTTAAAATATTCCTGAAAGCATAATTCAGATGTTCAAGCTTTCAGTCAAATTAAATAAAATCTTTCCTTTAGTTGTATAGCTAAAGCAGATACAATTTCTAGTTTTTTTTCAAGAGTTTATTTCAAATGGTCTCAGGTCATATTCTCTATACTTAGCACAAAGGAGGAAAATAATATAAAAGGCCATTGCATTCATGACATGAATTAACATTTTATTCAATTATTCATTTACTCAGGTTCTACTTTATACCAGGTTTTCTGCTAGGCTTTGTGGAGATGAAAGCAATGGTAACTATGGGGAAAATTTCACCCTAGAGACTCCTAAACAGTTGATCCTTTCAGATAAAGTTCAAGGGCATTTGGCATGGCATTTACTTTTCTATAGGAGACAAAGACAAACTCTAGTAAATTACGCTACAGAAAGTCAACAAATGCCTAATTCTATTGTCCTTGGTGATTGCCCACTCTGGGATAGATAAATTTATGTCTTTACAGCTGTATCACAAGAGATACCCATGGGGAAACCAAGAGACATAGATCTGTATGTTTATCCCTAAGGCAGAGAGATAATAGGAATAATGTATTTCACCAGAAGTAGTTTTAAAAAGAAGAAAAACTCTCCTACCAAGTGAGCTCATTCAGAAAACATCTCTGGGCTGAACCCTATGCTATGAAATCTAGTGGTACCTGCTGAATGGCTCTAAGATCAGACATCTTGAGAGCTCATCCTCTCCCCCTAAGGCAATCTTCATGAAGTATATGACAACTGAAACACAGAGAGCAAAATACACTGAGAGAACTTAAGCTTTGGGTGCTTTCCAGGATCCTCAGATAACATTTATAATTTATCTAAGACAGGGACGAGTTTTATTCATATTTCTCACAGAGGCAGAAGCATAAATAAGATGCAAACTGCTTTACAATTTGCTTAACTAATGATTGTTTTCCAGAACTGACTCTTAAAAGCCTACTCAGTCAGTTCCAAGAACATCCTAAAGAAGTTGACCACTTCCCTAATTGGAAAATTTACAAGGCAATAGATTTCTCTCCACCTCTCTGCATGTATAGGTCCATGGAGGACAACAAACTGAAATGATCCTCCCTCCTGGAACCAATATGGAGGCAATATGAAGTGCAGGCATATCCCCTGAGTCCTAAATGGCCTTCAGCAGACATGTCCTAATGAAGCAAAGTTAAAAATTGGTAATAAATTAATAAGAATGTGCCTCTTAGTGACAATCATCCATCCATTTCCTCTTAGAGCACCTTTTAATTATTGTTACCAATGACAGAGTTTGGGGGTCACTGCTTTCATAAAAGAAGAAAACTTTTCTGCTCTCAAGTCAGTAATGTATAGCCTTTGCATTCTTCAAACTTGGAATAACCAATACTTATTACTCATGGTTGTTTCTTTTTTAAATGCTGGGCAATGCCAGTGCTACACTGCTCTGAAAACACATTTCCTAAGTCCCCCCCGTCCTCCGCCACCCCATCAGAAGGAGACTTTCATTTTGGGCTGCTCATCATTTAGAGACAATAATGACAAGAGTATGGTCTCTATACACCTTCTTTGTCTTCATAGGGTGTCTTGATAACCCATAAAGCATCATGGGTATTAAAAAAAAACCAATAAACCACAATGCCCTATTCTTTCATTTTTCTTCATTTTTCTGTTAACTGGGTTTATACTAACTTAAGCAGAGAATCATTCAGCTGTTCATTGGTGATCTTCATAGCTGCTGACTAATACAGCCTCTTAAACATCTCTAAGAAGCTGTAAAATGTGCTCAGGAATTTGTCACACTGACATGTGTTGGCAGCAATTTTATTTCTCAAAGAACCATGGAGTAATGCACTGTGACTTTCCCTTTCTCCCTTTTCTTCCTTCCCACTATACTCATGACATCTTCCAAATGGGGTGACTTTTTAGAATTACCTCTGCTGGAATATAATTTAACAGTTTGGAAATTGTACTTAGTAAAACATGTTTCAAAGTAAATGAAGAGCAATTAACATGAGTCAATAATTCATCACTGTTTTTCTAGGCAACAAAACTAACTGGGGAATAGAAGTTAAGGACATCATGCTGAACAGCAACAGAGCATGGGACAGAAACCACTGTTCTAGAGCACTCTGCTTGGCCATCCATGGTAAACTCATACCCATTGCTGTCCTATCATTTCCTTCCAGCTACCAAAATCATATGGACTCTCTTTGTCCTGTAACTCCCAGTTTTAAAAATGGTGGAGAGATAAAAAGAGTTGAGTCTATTTTCTAGTGACTTATGAGAAACTATGGACTTCATCACTTTTCTGATTACTGTTCTAACTCTTTTCTGCTTAATAAAGGAGGAAGAAATTACAGGCAGTGCTAGAAAGCTCATGACTAGGAAAATAAGAAGGACAACTATATATGCATGTATATAGATGAGATACACACAAATATATATATGTGCTTTTTTACATATACATACATATATAAGTATATATATGCATATATATACACACATATTGATATATATAATATATATATATAAATGAAGACTTTTATTGAGCTGTACATTTTCACAGTGTTTCCCACAATAGTACATATTTTACCTTTTAAGACTGTGAATACCGGATAGGTTACTTAATAGAAAATATCAAAAGAGTTTTTAAACACGATCTTGAGTAGAAGGAGATTGTAGATCTATATGCATCACTGTCTATAGTGATTATTCTTGGCCGGACAAAATATTGATCCCAGTCCAATGTGAAAATTCCCCAACAGAATGAAAGTTAGAATTTAACAGAGGCAGCAAACTCTTGATTCAGCAAGCTCTCCATTGGATGAGAGATTTACATAATGAAGTACATCAGTAGTCAACAGGTTTAGGGCACCCTTTCCAGTCCTCTTCACCATAAGCTCAGCAAGGTTCAGCCCTATCTTCTCATTTACACTTATTCTCATCTTCAGTTTAGAATTGAAAAGTGAACAATCCAAGTTTCTCATAGGCCTTGTCAAAAAATGCACCCTCACCTGAATTATCACCATTTTTGCAATGCTTTCTAACAGGCTAATGCAGCCCCCGTAAGGAGAAATACTTTGAGGAACAAAAGAAAACACAATCAGATATATGCACCCAGTCTCAAAAGTATCATTGACAGTGAAATTTGTTCATCAAAATGTCTTTCACCTGGGTAAAAGGGAAGCTCATCCATGCAGATGATAGCAAGTCCCATGTTTCACTTTCTCCTTCATAGGGCCAGAACGTTTCATTGCCACCAGTTGCTATGAGGTTAGGGAAAGATACGTTGATTCACATATTCATGTGTTTTAAAGAATACATTTCCGAATTTTTTAGATTTTACAATTTAATTGTCCACAAGTTCTAGAGGTCTTGATTAGAAAGCCATAAATTTAAGGTACTGTTGTTTGGACGTTAAATTAGTAGCAACTATTAGAAGGGCTGCCTGAATTAATTATGTGGGGTTTGTCCTGCCCTGTAGATTTGTGAGCTAGATTTTGCTTTGGTTTCATCATTTGTTGTACCACCCAGAAGAACAAATAACTCTGTATTGCTACTGTATGTTTTATTTCAACATGACATTTATCTCTTGTCAATAGGTAAAAAGCAATAACTTTACTCGTGCGACCTGGAATTAAGAGGGAAAACCATGAGAAGATATAGCTCATATATGATTTTGCTTATTCAAGTCTCTGTGACTAAAACATAGTTGACAACATACTTTTTATTCTATGCTTTCTTGCATAATATCTCTATGTCCTCCAAAGAGAACTTGAATTGTTTCCCCTAATTCAAATCCCAATGATCTATTATTGCTCTTTAATATTAACAGTCATTGCTAGTCTGTCTCTGACAAGACAAGCAGCTTAAGCTCCAAATCTCAAGGTCTAAAGACCATAGTCATTGTATAATGAGCCCCAGGAAGTCCTAGAGTAGCTCAGCCCATTAAGCAAGCTGAGTCTCAAGCAAGGGCTGCTGAAAGTTGACCTGAGACTGCCAAAATTCTCCTTTGTGGGGTTTTGTTTTGAGTCATAAAACTCACTTCCTTCATGGCAAATCTAGCAGTATTTGTTAATGATGTCTCTGCTCCATGCCATAAGCTTTACCTCACTAGAACATCTGCTTGGGATTCAGCCTGTTGCTACTGATCATTTTCTACTTTCCAGTCACTAACTTTTAAGAAGCACCAGTGTGATATAGTGAAAATACACCCTTAAAGAGGTGTCGTGAGACTTGATTTTGATTCCCATTTCTGCCAATAACTATTCAAGTAGCATGGAGGGAGTCATTTGACCCCTCTGAACTTCAGTTTCCTCATCTGCAAAATGGAGGCAGTGGGGAATATACTAGATAATACCCAAGGTCCCCAGCTTTAATGTTTCAGTCTGTTCGTATAAAAAGAAAAGCCTTTGCCTTGACCATTTCAATGTAACTTTTGGTGAAATGGCACACGTTTACATAAATATTTTTTTAAAAGATCATTGGATCATCAGTTACCAAATTCTGGGGATGACTCTTTAAAACAATGTAAAAATATTCCTGAGTTTCACAGTATACTGGGAGACTTAAACCTGATAAAATGCTCTAAGAGTGCAAAACATAATCTATTTTTATTATTCATCCATTTAAAATCTGGGTTTGCTAGTTGTAATACTTTGTGTTTAGTGTTGTGTGGTTACATGTTGCTCGTTTTGCAACATCTCAGCTATCCAAAGTACCACCTTTACTTTCTAAGTAGGGAAATTAAAACACAACTTTGGAACCTGTGGTCCTTATTCCTATTGATCTCTCTGCCAAGTAATAATTGGCTACTCCCTTCTTAACACCTACTTCTCATTGCCTGTTCCTTCTTGACTTCTCATTGGATCCTCTTCCTCTGTTCACTCATTATACATGAGTGTTTTCTCCAGATTTCATTCTAAATTCTCCACTATAGTCCCTCTCTACATGTCCCATTGGTAATTTCTTTGATTACATGCAGATAATTTTCAGGCATTTCTTTATTTAAAAATCCTTCGGTGGCAAGCTTAATTACTTAAAAAGGCACATGAGGTACTAGCCTAGCTTTCTAGAATAATTGCCTTTTTTCTTTCCTACAAACACTTTGTGATCTAACCTTGCTTAACTAGTGACATTCTCTGAGTTCTCAAGGACTTTCAAGTTTCCCTTCTTTTGCCCATGTTATTTACTCCTTTTGAAATGTCCCGCTCTTTGCTACCCTATGTCTTAGAATGTTCTATTCATTTTTTATTTTTATTTTTTTAATTACACTTTAAGTTCTAGGGTACATGTGCACAACGTGCAGGTTTGTTATATATGTATACACGTGCCATGTTGGTGCGCTGTACCCATTAACTCATCATTTACATTAGGTATATCTCCTAATGCTATCCCTCCCCCCTCCCCCCACCCCCCAGCAGGCCCCAGTATGTGATGTTCCCCGCCCTGTGTTCAAGTGTTCTCATGGTTCAATTCCCACCTATGAGTGAGAGCATGCAGTGTTTGATTTTCTGTCCTTGCGATAGTTTGCTGAGAATGATGGTTTCCAGCTTCATCCATGTCCCTACAAAGGATATGAACTCATCATTTTTTATGGCTGCATAGTATTCCATGGTGTATATGTGCCACATTTTCTTAATCCAGTCTATCATTGATGGACATTTGGGTTGGTTCCAAGTCTTTGCTATTGTGAATAATGCCACAATAAACATACGTGTGCATGTGTCTTTATAGCAGCGTGATTTATAATCCTTTGGGTATATACCCAGTAATAGGATTGTTGTGTCAAATGGTATTTCTAGTTCTAGATCCTTGAGGAATTGCCACACTGTCTTCCACAATGGTTGAACTAGTTTACAGTCCCACCAACAGTGTAAAAGTGTTCCTATTTCTCCACATCCTCTCCAGCACCTGTTGTTTACTGACTTTTTAATGATCTCCATTCTAACTGGTGTGAGATGGTATCTCATTGTGGTTTTGATTTGCATTTCTCTTCATTTTTTAAAGGCACAGATCAAAGTCCCTTTTCTCTTTCTAGCCTTACTGACCCAACAGGCAAAATGAATTGCTCCCTTCCTTCTACCAGGATTTCCAAGAATTCCTCTAGGACATTTTTATGCTTTCCTATGATAGGTATTATATTATTTTACTTCTGTATATGGTTAATTAGTTAATCTGTATTTTGTGGAGAAGAAACAGAAAGCAACTTTATTCTATTTTACCACTATCCCTTTGAACTAACTTTGTCAAATAGTTCTTTCCTGACAATGAATTAAATCTTGAGTGCATCTCACCATTAAAAAAATTCTTTTTCCTCATTCTGTGGTTCTGTATCTTTTAAGGAGAGCATAAGAATGATACAACATACTTTGGGGACTTTGGGGGAAGAGTGGGAGGGGGACGAGGGATAAAAGACAACATCTGTGGTGCAGTATATACTGCTTAGGTGATGGGGGCAGCAGGATCTCACAAATCACCACTAAAGAACTTACTCATGTAACCAAATACCACCTGTACCCCAACAACTTACAGAAAAATAAAAATAAAATAAAATAAAATCCTTTTCATATATGAAAAAGCCCAGTGCCATTTAAAACAAAACAAAAAAACCTTTAATCTGTTATTGAATTTAAAACTTCTCTCCTCTAGCTTAGGCCTAACTCAGCCTCAGAAACCCGAGGACAGAGGGAGAGTTTATCCAGATCCTTTCTCTTCCTTGCACTCTCTCTTCCTCTGTCTTCTTCCCAATCCTAGTTGCCATTTCAGGCTCAGATCGATCAAGTAAAGGAGGTGGGATTAGGTGGAAAAAGTAAAGTCGTATATACCTTTCTAGTTTTAAAAAATGTGGCAAGTGTAAATAAATATTTTTTTTCTCTTGTGGAAATTTTTGTTAGTAAATTGGAAACCATGTGTCAGCTTGGTCTGCCATACCAAAATACCGTAGACTTTATGGCTTAAACACTTATTTTCTCACATTTCTGAGGCTATAAATCCAAGATTAAGGTGCCATCTTGGTCAATGTCTGGTGAGGGCCTTTTTGTTGGCTTGTAGATGGTTGCCTTCTTGCTGTGTTATCACATGGCAGAGAGAGACCAGAAAGCTCTGTGGTATCTCTTCTCATAAGAGCAATAATTCCATCATGATTACCCATCATTATCTAAACCTAATTATATCTCAAAGACCCCATTTCCAAATACCATCACATTGATGAATAGGATTTCAACATATGAATTTTGGGGAAAACACAGTCTGTAACATTCTGTTTCCAATCCCCCAAAATTTATGTACTTCTTGCCTGTAAAATACATTAATTTTATACCAAAAGCCCTACAAGTCTTAACTCATTCTGGCATCAACTCTAAAATCTACAGTCCAAAGTTTTAGCTAAATAACATATAAGTCATATATGTATGAGACTCTAAGTACAATTAATCCCAAGGCAAATTCCCCTTCAGCTGTGAGCCTGTGAAACCTGAAAAGTTATCTGCCCACAAAATATAATGATGAGAGAGGCATAGGATGGACATTCGCATTGAAAAAGGAAAAATATAGAAAGGAAGAAAAAGGTGGCAGGTCTTAAGCAAGTCCAAAACCTAGCTAGGCAAATTCTATTAGACCTTAAGTTTCAAATATAATCCTCTTTGGCTCCATGTCTCACCTTTTCGGCCCACTGGGGGCGGCAACATCACTCAATGGCTCTAGGCAGGGCTCCCGCTGCCCAAGGTTCTACAGGGTAGTTCCTTCCCCATGTTTTTGAACAGAGGTCACCCAGCCTTTTGAAACCAAGGTGGTGGTCCTAATGATCTCTGAATCATCTTTACAGTTATTTTCTCAAGAAGTGGTTGAAGCAATATACAACACATCAGCATTTTTTTCCTAATTTTCTTTAAACTCCCAATATTTATTGACAGATTCTTGAGGCAAGCATGATTGGTTTATTCAAGGAACTGAAACCAAACTTTTATGGCTGGAATGTAATTAGTGAGGGGAGAGTGACAAACAATGAATTCAGACAGGTAAGCAAGACTGAGATCACACAAAGCATTGAGGTTATGATGAAGATCTGAGTTTTATTCAAAATGCAGCGGATAGCCATTGGAGCCATTGGAGGTCTTTAAGCAGGAAAGGGATGTGCGCAACACACTGAGATTTACCTTTTAAAGATACACCTGTAGCTGGTATATAGAAAATTTATTATAAAGGGGGGAGAGTAGAAGCAAGGAGACCAAATAACAGGCTACCAAGTAATTCAGGCAAGAGATGTATGTGGTTTGGCTTAGAATGATAGCAGCGGAGAGGAAGGGAAGGTGATAGATAAGACAGAATGGTTTGAAAGTACAGCTGACAGTATGTGGTAAAGGACTAATGCAGAGTGTAAGGGAAGTAAATGCTTCAGAATGACTTCTAATTTGGGGGAGAACAGCTAGGTGGATGGGGTGGTATTAACTGGTATGGAAAATACTGAGCTAAGAGCAGATTTTATTTTTATTTTTGTTTCCTGCTCTGTGTTTGAGGGCAGAAGGGATTACAGGGTTCTACTCCAATTGTATTAAATCTGAGGTATTTATTGGAATTTCAAGCGGATATGCCAAAAGACAAATAAAAACATATTTAAATTTGGAACTCAGTGGCTATGGCTAGAGATAGAAATTTAGTTTCCATGGGCCTACACATGGGTTGAAAATTCAATAAATGAATGAAAATATCTATGAGAGAAGGTAGAAGAAGAAGAGTGGCCAAGTATCTGGATCTGGGACAACTAACATTGAGAAGTTACTCACAGGAGTAGCAGCCAGCAGAAACAAAGAAGAATCAGGATACAAGTTATTCAACAATGTTTTAACATTTAAAATACACAGGTAATGAAACATTTATTCTTCAGTCATATCTCACCTCAGCACTGGTGAGAATACAAAACAGCAAGACCTAAGAGGAAACTGTCCAATTTGTAATTCAATAGACAATTATTTGAAAACATTTTTTAAAGTTTGGAAAACTTCTCTATTATTGCTGATTACTGTAGAATTGGACTTATGTATTACTCCAGCCATCATGGGCCATTATTATATGTAAACGTTAGTATGCATAGGTTAAGAGCATAGGCTTTTTAAACACCAAACTTCACTTTGAAGCTGAGACCCTGGGCAGGTCACTTAGCCTCTCTGAACCTCCATGTTTTCATCTGTTAAATGAAGATAACAATAATAGAACTGATCTCATAGGACTAATCTGAGGGTTAAATTATTTGATAGATGTGAAATACTTAGAAAAGTCCCTATAACATAATAGCACTAAAATAAATGTTAGCTATGAGCAGAACATATAGTTATCTTCTGGGAGTTTAAAACACCTAGGATATATCCAGACTAATGTAAAAATACAGGATAATTTTCTAGAATCAAGCATGAATTGAATGTTCAGCTCATTATGTACTGGAAAGAACTAATTATGAATTAGGTAGAAAACAGATTTGTCTTACAATTCTGGCACTTACCAGGATCATGGCTTTAGAAAAGTCATTTAAATCACAAGGTCCCAGTAGTCCAAATTGCAGAATGGAGAATAGAGAGACTAAAATTTCTTAATGGTTTTCTGTAATTTTATGAATTTTAAGATAGGTGCAGCAAACCACCATGGCACACGTATACCTATGTAAAAAACCTACACATTCCGTACATGTATCCCAGAACATAAAGTAAAATTTTAAATAAATAAATAAATAATAATTTGAAATAAAAAAGGGTTAATTAAGTTTTCTTTATTTCTTATTGGACATTATTTTCTTTCTTTTGTGTCTACTAATGGATGGAATCCACTGCAAAATGGGTTAAAATATTCACTTAAAGTTTGTACATAATTCTTCTCATAGCCAACTTTTAAGGAACTTGAGATCATAGGGATTTTATATTCTTTGTATTTTTGTAGATCCCATATACTCATGTTCTGAAATAACTCTTACTGTAAACCTATTCAAATATCACATTTGGAAGCCAGATGCAAGCTATTTAGGAAAATTCTAACTTTTGTTGAGTCTGAGGTAAAAATTTATTTTGTCTATCACTCATTTGTAAGTTGACTTTTTAAAAAAAATATATAGTGATTTCAATACTGTTAGATTAAAATTGATCTACTTTCAGAACTATTTACTTAAAATTGCACATTCGGCAAGTATATTTTTGGATCTAAAGTTTAACTCTAAATTCTGATTTGATTGAGGACATGTACACAGTGTAATTAAATGTGCAAGTATCTTAATCTGACCAGAGCATTGTAACAGAAACTATTACAAATATTACTACTTTTTTTCCCTTTTCAAATATGTCAAAAATAAATTTAACCTAGGAAAATAATTTCAGGGATTTGGCAATGCTACTTGGCTATGATCAGACATTGGCTATGATCAGACATTTGGGGCACTCAGTCACCCAGCCTTCTGGAGACCTTGTGTCTAACTAACTACACAAAATTATTTCTCTCCTTCTTAATAGCAATGAGATCTTTTACCTAGAGATTTCAGAACAAAAGGTAAGAAAGACAATTAATTATAGCCTAGGCCTCACATGCAAAGTTAATGAATTTTAATGCATATCAATTAATAGCTAATTGGGTTTTGCCTGACTATAGATGGAGGTGTTGGGTGATGAGAAGGAAAGAGGTCCTATTTTAGCTGAAATACAACAGTCATTCTTCTAGGACTTTGTCTTCCCAGTTCTCCTTGTCTTTAAGTCAAAATAAGAAACAAAATATCCAAGGCTTCTAATGAACTCTCTGAAATTCAAAGCTTACATGTATACATGTCAGCATTTAGAAGTATAAGAATTGTCTTTTCACATCAGGTAAATACAAAACTCTCTGTAAGTTTATACAGAATATTATTTTTCAAAGCATTCTTGCTTGATGTGTAGGCAAGGCATCTATTATATTTTTAATTTCTAAAATAAGGAAAGGGAGAAGAAAATAAATAAAGGAAAGAGAGAGGGAGAGATGATAGATGGTCTTAGAAGATTTAAGGTCTTGGTTTCATTTCTTGGTTAGTGTAGTTCACACAGACTCAAGACTCCAAATGTTATGAATCCAGCAGTTTCCTCTCACCACAAAATAAAAAGGTCCAAATTTAATATACCATAAACAAACAAAGACACACCTTCCACTTATAGTAATGTAGTCTGTGTGATGTTGCCCTAAGGATAGGCAAATATATCAATGAAAATAATGTGAAGTCCAGCAATAGACACACATGTGGCTGACTGATTTTTCAACAAAGGTATCTACATAATTCGCCAGGAGAAAGAATAGAGTTTTCAACCCATGGTGCTGGAAACAACTACACATGTCTTTAAAGGAAACAATTTAATCTTGACTCCTACATTGTATCATACACAAAAATTAATTTGAAATGGATCATACAGTTAAATATAAAATCTAGAACTACAAGGTGCTTACAAAAAATAAGAGAATGTTTTTGTTATTGGAATAGGAGATTTTTTCAGGGACAAAAAAAATCATAAAAATTATACACATTAAATGTTATCTAAGTTAAAACCTTCATCTCATCAAAAGACACAATTTAAAAAGTGAAAAGGTAAGCTATAACCAGGGAGAAAATATTTGCAATGCATCTATAAGACAAAGAACTTGTATCCAAAATACGTAATTGATAAATACACAAACCACCCAAGCAAATATTTGCTAAAAAATTAAGACAAAGGGAAAGTCTTGCAACCAGAAGAAAAAGACATATTACCTACAAAGAAACAAGGATAAGAATTACAGCAGATCTTTCATCAGAAAGCATTCAAGAAAGTATAAAATGGAGTGATGTCTTTTCAAGCACTGGTAGGGAATCACTGTCAACCCAGAATTCTATACCTAGTAAAATATCATTCAAAAATTGAGGAAAAAATAACGATTTCCTTATGTAAATAAAAAATGAGTGATTTATTGCTAGAAGATATTTTTGAAAGAATTGTAGAAATGTTAGAGAATGTTCTTCAATGTAATAAATTTTTATAATTTTGTGTTGCCTTAGCATTTATTCTGAATACAAGTTTAATTTTTTCATACCAGAAGCACACAGTTTCCAGTTGTATCCCACATCCACATAGTTCAAGCCAGTGGCCACAGATAAGAACCTAGAGGTGTCTCTGCCATCTAGCAGACTGGGCTCCTTGCTTTCCCACTAGCTCCTTTAAATGGACTGTTCAGCCATTTGCTCACCAACTTAAAGTAACCCACACCTATTCCCTCATATACATTCCCAGTTGCTGGGCCCTCTCTGTCTATCTCTTTCTTTCATTCTCTCTCTCTCTCCATCTAATTCTTCATTCCTGCCTTGCATGACCTGAAGACAGAGGGTTGCCCTTCTGATTCACCACACTGCACTTTCCCAGAATCTGCACATAAAGATTTTTGTACTTGTTTCCTTTTTTGGTGTTATATTGAATTTGCACTTTCCATCTAAAGAACTAAGGGTTTCCCCAGGCTGAGGGAACACAAGGTTGGACTCACTGCCAGAATGATGGTCAGGCAGCCATAAACTAGAAACTTGTCAGACAAGAACCACAAGGATAACCATAAGCAAGTTTCCTGTGTGAAGGAAACCCCCATCATAAGTTGGACAAGTAGGTGTTATTAGGTTATCTACCAGGTAAGAAAAAAAGTATCCAATGAAAGGCACACCATGAACACATCCAGCAGTCCTTCATTTTCTGTTAAAGCAGGGTTGCTAGTCACTCTGATACTGGAACTTGAATTTAGCGAGGGGCTCCTAAAACATTCAGGCAGAGGAATATAAAATAATAAATTTGGATTTACCTTAAGAAAAGTACTGGAAATAGAATCAATTAAGGTAAAGTAATTTATGAGGTTCTTGATTTTCATTACTCTGATTATAATTGCTTGGAGCAAAAATTGTAACTATTTATTGTGTGCTTATAGTATATGTAAAAGTAAAAAATATGTGATACCAGTACCATGAAGAATAAGAGGAAAGAATTAGGAATATAAAGGTATATCCCAGGTCATTAGCATATGAAGGTGCTATAAATATAATATTTATTAATATTATATAATATTTATATAATTATTTAATATAATATTTAATAATATAATATTATTTGAACACAAACTCCAAGAACAACTACTATTTTTAAGAAAAATATAAATAATAGCTCAGTAGAGAAGAGAAAATGAAATTATTTTAAAAATGTATAAGCCCAGAAAAGGCAAAAAGTAAAGAGGATTAAAAATAAAGAACAAATGGAACTAATGAAAAACAGCTAGCAAGATGGTATGTTTTAATGAAACTATATCAATAATCCCTGTAAAAATGAATAGTGTAGACACACAATTTAAAAGACAAAGATTATCAGATTGGTTAAAAAAGCATAACCTGGGGAATGACAACAGCAAGATGGCAGAATAGGAAGTTCCAGTTTATGTCCCTTACACAAAACAATTCAATAACTACCAACCAACAAAAATAGCTCTGGGAGAACGCTGAATTACAATGAAGAAACTGCAACACCCAGTGGAGCACAAAAAGAATGGCTGCGTAGAGAAGAATAGGAAACATTTTACCTGCAAAAGCACTTCCCCAACCCAGCACAATTTGTCACATAGGTTGATCCTGTTGGCTACAATCTGCCCCTGTGAGTGAAAGAAAGAGCAAAAGGTCCCCAGCAGACTTTGCCACTGAAGGTCTCAGCAGCCTTCACCTTCTTTACAAATACACACAGCATTTGCCACCCAAAATGACTGTATTAGCCAACACTGAACCCCTCCAGGGCCAGAGCCACTGAATTCTCCCCCCAAACCCCATAGCTTCCACACTCCTCTCAGCCAGTGCCCTCATACCTACCTGTAGGAAAAGATCTTCCCCCACTGCAGCCAATCCATAAATCTGAAAGAGGTGACTGCTCCTTCATATGTGCAACACAAGTCTACAAGGAAAACAGAAATCAGGAAAACATGATACCACCAGAAAACAAAAACCACAATGAATTTCCAGTAACTAATCCCAAAGAAATAAAGATGTATAAATTTCTAAAGAGCTCAAAATTACCGAAAGAGTTGTTTTAGAGGAGTTCAGGTAGCTACAAGAAAACAGAGACAGACAAATCAATACAATCAGGAAACAGTACACAAATAAAATTAAAAATTTAATAAAGAATTAGAAATTATTTAAAAAAACAGATATTCTGGAGCAGTAAAACACAATGAATGAAATCAAAAATGCGATAGAGCACCTTAAGAACAATCAATCAAGCAGAAAAAATAACCTTTAAATTAGAAGACATATAAGTTGAAATTATGCAGTCAGAGAAGAAGAAAATGATTTTAAGAGTGAAGAAAGCTTATGGCATTTAAGGGAAATTATTAACTGAACTAAGATGTGCATTCTAAGTATTCAAGAAGGAGAAGAGAGATATAGAGAGACAGAAAGCTTATATAAAGAACTGTTGGATGAAAAGTTCCCAGATTTTGGGAAGACTGAATCTTCCCAAATCTCTAGGGAGATCAAAAATCTCCCTAGAAAGAAAAGCCCAAAACCTGATGGTTTCACAGGTGAATTCTACCAAACACTCAAAAAACTAATAACAGTTTTTTATACTCTTCCAAAAAAATAAAACAAGAAACACTACCAAACTAATGTTATGAGACAAGTATCATCCCAGCACCAAAATCAGAAAAAGTCACCATAAGAAAATAAAACTACAGGCTAACATTCCTGATGAACATATCTGCAAAAATTCACAATGAAATAATAGCAAACCAAGTTCAACAGCCCTATAAAAAATCAGAATCCACAACCAAGTGGGATTTATCCTTGAAGAACAAGAATAATTTAATATATGCAGATCAATAATTCTGATACATCACATTAACATAATGAAAAGGAAAAAATCACATCATCATCTTAGTAGATGTAGAAAAATATTTGACAAAGTTTAACACTAATTCACGATTACTAAAATTCTCAAGAAAATAGTTGTAGAAGAAATTACCTTAACACAATATAGACTATAAATGAAAAGCTCATAGATGACATCATAATTAAAGAAGATAAACTGAAAACTTTCCCACTAAGGTCCAGTACAATACACAGATGACCACTCTTTCAACTTCTTTTCAACATAATACTGGAAGTCCTAGGCAGAACAATTGGACAAGAAAAAAAAAGGCATCTAAATCAGAAAGAACAAAGTAAGATTATATCTGTTTGCTGATGACATGATCCTCTATGTAGAAAACCCTAAAGAATCAACTACATCAACAACAACGATAACAAGAAAACAGAACTAAAATTTAGAAAGTTGCAGGATACAAAATCAACAAATAAAAATTAGTAGTGTTAATCCTATACACAGAGAATATTGTGTAGGCTTTCCTGAAAAGGATATTAAGAAAACAATATCTCTTGGGGGATACAAAAAATAGGAGGCAAGACTAACTTGTAGCTCCCACTTGGACAGACAGAACAGTGTGTGGGGACTCACACAGTGAACTTTTGATCCAAAAATTACTGCAGGAACATACCAAGAAAACTGAAATAATACACAGGCCTTGTGAAAGAAATGGCTTGCCATTGCAAACTCCATAAGACAGCTGAAAAACTCAGCTGCAGCAGGCCCCACCCAAGGAGAGTCTGAGCTCAGACACACCTAGCCCTGCCTCAACTTGATGGTCTTTTTCTACCCACCCTGGTAGGTGATGACAAAATACATAATTTCTTGGGAGCTCTATGACCCCATCCATTGCTTGAGAAACCCAAATACTTAACACAGGCCATGTTAGGGCAAGCTTGAATCCCCCCATACTACCACAGCTGAGGCTCTCTGGAAAGCGCAACCTCCTGGCTGGAGGTCAACCAACACAAGCCATTAAAGGAACTCATAAAATAATAACTCCACTCCAAGAAAGGAGAAAGCAACAGCTAATTCCTCTGCCGGTAACATCCTGGCTAATCAGAGGTCCTGAGTCTGTCCATGTGACAACTTAATTGCTAGTGCAACCAGCATTTGAGAAAACCAGTGCACTGAACAAAACTGTAACCAAGGGCTCTTGCAGAGTCCACTTGACTCCCCTGCTACCTGCACCGTATCAGGTGCTGGTACTCATGGCTGGCAGACTTGAAGATGGATTACATCACAGGACTCTTAGCAGACACTCCCCAGTACCATCCAAGAGCCCAGTAGCTTCCCTGGGTGACTAGACCCAGGAGAGCAATAACAATGCAGTCTGGTTCTCAGGAAGCCCCATCCCTAGGGAAAGGGGGAGGGCACCACATCAAGGGATCACCCCATGGGACAAAAGAATGAAAAGCAGCCCTTGAGCTTTGATTTTCCCTCTGACATAGTCTACTTGAATAAGAAGGAACCAGAAAAACAGTTTTGGTAATATGATAAAGCAAGTTTCTTTAACTCCCTCAAAAGATTACTTTAGCCCACTCATAATGAATTTGAAACAAGGAGAAATTTCTGAAGTACCAGAAAAAGAATTTGGAAGGCTGATTTTTTAAGTTACTCAAGGAGGCCTCAGAGAAAGGTGAAAAACAACTTAAAGAAATTTTAAAAAACTTCAGGATATGTATGAAAATCTCCACAGAAAATTTCTAGAAACAGCATAAATGAAAAACAATCACAACTCCTGGAAATGAAAGACATACTTAGAGAAATGCAAAATACACTGGAAAGTTTCAACAGTATAATTTAACAAGGAGAAGAAAGAACATTAGAACTTGAAGACAAGGCTTTTGAATTAACCCAATCTGACAAAGACAAAGAAAAAAATCAAAACAAATGAACACAGCCTAAAATAAATTTGGGATTATGTTAAATAGCCAACCCTAAGAATAATTGGTGTTTCCAAGGAAGAAGAGACATCTAAAAGTTTAGAAACCTTATTTGGGAATAATTGATGAAAACTTCCCTGGCCTTGCTGGAGATCTAAACATCCAAATACAAGAAGCTCAAAGAACACCTGGGAAATTCATCGCAAAAGTATCATCGCCTAGGCACATAGTCATCAGGTTATCTACAGTCAAGACAAAGAAAAGAATATTAAGAGCTGTGAGGCAAAAGCATCAGGTAACCTATAAAGGAAAACCTATCAGATTAAGAGCAGATTTCCCAGCAGGAAAACTATAAGCTAGAAGGGATTGCGGTCCTATCTTTAGCCTCTTAAACAAAACAATTAGCCCAGAGTTTTGTATCCAGCAATACTAAGCTTCATAAATGAAGGAAAGATACAGTCTCATTCAAAGAAACAAATGCTGAGAGAATTTGCCACTTCCAAGTCAGAAATACAAGAACTGCTAAAAGGAGTTCTAAATCTTGAACCAAAACCTCAAAACAAACCAAAGTAGGACTTCCTTAAATCATAAATCTCACAGTACCTAAAAAACAATAACACAATGAAAAACAAAATAAGATACTCAGGCAACAACTAGTATGATGAATAGAACAGTACTTCACATCTCAATACTAACATTGATTATCAATGGTCAAAATGCTCCACTTAAAAGATACAGAATGACAGAATGAATAAGAATTCACCAACCAAGTATCTGCTGTCTTCAAGAGACTCACCTAACCCATAAGTACTTGCATAAACTTAAGGAAAAGGAGTGGAAAAAGATATTCTATGCAAATGGACACCAAAAGCAAGCAGGAGTAGCTATTCTTATATCAGACAAAAAAGACTTTAAAGCAAAAGCAGTTTACAAATACAAAGAAGGACATTATATAATGATAAAAGGACTAGTCCAACAGGAAAATATTACATCTTAAATATATATGTACCTAATAGTGGAGTCCCAAATGTGTAAAACAATTATTACTAGACATAAGAAATGAGAAAGACAGCAACACAATAATAGTCAGGGAATTCAGTACTCCATTGACAGTACTAGACAGGTCATCAAGACAGAAAATCAACAAAGAAACAATGAACTTAAACAATACCCTAGAACAAATAGACTTAACAGATATTTAAAGAACATTCTACCCAACAACTGCAGAAAATACATTCTATTCATCAGCACATAGAACATTCTCCAAGATAGACCATAAGATAAGCCACAAAACAAGTCTCAATAAATTTAAGAAAATTGAAATTATATCAAGTACTCTCTCAGACAACAGTGGAATAAAACTGAAAATTAACTCCAAAAGGAACCCTCTAAACTATACTAATACATGGAAATTAAATAATCTGCTCCTGAATGACCATTGGGTGAATAATGTAATCAAGATAAAATTTTAAAAATTATTTGACCTGTACAATAATAGTGACCCAACCTATCAAAACCTCTGGGATACAGCAAAAATAGTGCTAACAGGAAAGTTCATAGCATTAAATGACTACATGAAAAATTCTGAAAGAACACAAAGAAGTAATCTCAGGTGATACTTTGAGGAACTAGAGAAATAAGAACAAATCAAACCCAAACCCAGCAGAAGAAAGGAAATAACAAAGATAAGAGCAGAACTAAATAAAACTGAAAAAAAAAACCACAAAAGGTAAATGGAACAAAAAACTGGTTCTTTGAAAAGATAAACAAAATTAATGGACCATTAGCGAGATGAACCAGAAAGGAAGAGAGAACATCCAAATAAGCTCAATTAGAAGCAAAATGAGAGATACTACAACCGATACCACAGAAATAACAAAAGATCACTCAAGACTATGAAGAACACCTCTAAGCACACAAACTAGAAAACCTAGAGGAGATTAATGAATTCCTGGAAATATAATACCCTCGTACATTAAACCAGGAAGAAATAGAAACTCTGAGCAGACTAATAACAAGCAGGAAGATTGGAATGGTAATAAAAACATTGACAACAAAAAAATTCTAGGACCAGATTGAGTCACAGCTAAGTTCTACCAGACATTCAAAGAAGGATTGGTACCAACCCTATACACTATTCCAAAAAGAGAGAGAGAGGGAATCCTCCTAATCTTTCTATGAACCAGTATCTCTCTAATACCCAAACCAGGAAAGGACATAAAAAAAGAAGAAAAGAAAACTACAGACCAATGTCCCTGACAAACATAGATGCAAAAATCATCAACAAAATACTATTTAACTAAATCCAACAGCATGTCAAAAAAATAATACACCAAGATCAAGTGGGTTTCATCAGGGATGCAGGGGTGGTTTAACGTGATACACCACATAAACAGATTTAAAAACAAAAATCATATGATCATCTCAATAGATACATAAAAAGCATTTGACAAAATCCAGCATGCTTTTATGATTAAAAACTTCAGCAAAATTGGCATAAAAGGGGCATAACTTAAGGTAATAAAGGCCATCTGTGACAAACTCACAGCCAACATTACACTGCATGGGGAAAAGTTGAAAGCATTGAGAACTGGAGCAAGACAAAGATGACCACCTTCACCACTTTTATTCAACATAGTACTGGACAGCCTAGCCAGAGCAATCAGACAAGAGAAAGAAGTAAAGGGCATTGAAATCAATAAAACCGAAGTCAAACTGTCACTGTTCACCAATGATATGACCATATACTTAGAAAAGGCTTATCAAAAAAGCTGCTAGATCTGATAAATAAATTCAGTAAACTTTCAGGATACAAAATCAATGTACACAAATCTATATCACTGCTATAAACGAGCAGTTACCAAGCTGAGAGTCAAATCAATAACTCAACCTATTTTACAGTAGCTGCAAAAAAAAAAAAAAAGAAAAACAACTTAAGAATATACCTAACCAAGGTGGTGAAAAACCTCTACGAGGAGAACTACAAAACACTTCTGAAAGAAATCATAGATGACACAAACAAATGGAAACACATCCCTTGCTTGTGGATGGGTAGAATCAATATTGTGAAAATGAACATACTGCCAAAAGTAGCCTACAAATTCAATGCAATTCCCATCAAAATACCACCATTGTCCTTCACAGAACCAGAAAAAAACTATCCTAAAATTCATATGGAACCAAAAAAGAGCCTGCATAGACAAAACAAAGAACAATTTTGGAGGCATCACATTACCCAACTTCAAACTATATTATAAGGCTATAGTCACCAAAACAGCATGGCACTGGTATAAAAATAGGTACATAGACCAATGGAACCCAGAAATAAAGCCAAACACTTGCAGCCAAGATCTTCATCAATGCAAACAAAAACATAAAGTGGGGAAAGGACATACTATTCAACAAATGGTGTTAGAATAATTGGCAAACCACATGTAGGAGAATAAAACTGGGTCCTTATCTCTCACCTTACACAAAAATCAACTCAAGATCTATCCAAGACTTAAATCTAAGACCTGAAACCATAAAAATTCTAGAAGATAACATTGGAAAAACCCTAATAGACATTGGCTTAAGCAAAGTGTTCATTACCAAGAACCCAAAACAAATGCAACAAAAACAAAGATAAATAGATAGGACTTAATTAAACTAAAAAGCTACACAGCAAAAGAAATAATCAGCAGGGTAAACAGACAACCCACAGGGTGGGTGAAAATCTTTGCAAACTATTCATGCAACAAAAGACTAATATCCAAAAACTACTAGGAACTCAAACAATTCAGCAATAAATAAAACAACAATCCAATCAAAAAGTGGGCTAAGGACATGAATACACAATTCTCAGAAGAAGATATACAAATGGCCAACAAACATATGAAAAAATGCTCAACATCTCTAATGATCAGGGAAATGCAAAATCAAAACCACTATATGAGATACCATCTTACTCCTGCAAGAATGGTTATAATTAAAAAATAAAAAAAAAATAGATGTTGGCATGGATGTGGTGAAAACAGAACACTTTTACACTGACGGTGGGAATGTAAACTATTACAACCACTATGGAAAACAGTATGGAGATTCCTTAAAGAGCTAAAAGTAGATCTATCATTTGATCCAAAAATCTCACTACTAGTTATCTACCCAGAGGGAAAGAAGTCATTATATGAAAAAGACACTTGCATGCACGTATTTACAGCAGCACAATTCACAATTGGAAAAATATGGAACCAGTCCAAATGCCCATCAGGTAGCAAGTGGAGAAAGAAAATGTGGTATAAATATACCATGGAAAACTACTCAGCCATATAAAGAAATGACATAATGGCATCCACAGCTACCTGGATGGAGTTGGAGACCATTATTCTAAGTGAAGTAACTCAGGACTGGAAAACCAAACATTATATGTTCTCACATATAAGTGTTAGCTAAGCTACGAAGACGCAAAGGCATAAGAATGGTACAATGGAGTTTGAGGACATAAGGAAAAGGTGGTGGGGAGGTGAGGGACAAAAGACTACACATTGGCCGGGCGTGGTGGCTCACGCCTGTAATCCCAGCACTTTGGGAGGCCGAGACGGGCGGATCACGAGGTCAGGAGATCGAGACCATCCTGGCTAACACGGTGAAACCCCGTCTCTACTAAAAATACAAAAATTAGCCGGGCATGGTGGTGCGCGCCTGTAGTCCCAGCTACACGGGAGGCTGAGGCAGGAGAATGGCGTGAACCCGGGAGGCGGAGCTTGCAGTGAGTCGAGATCGCGCCACTGCACTCCAGCCTGGGCGACAGAGCAAAACTCCGCCTCAAAAAAAAAAAAAAAAAAAAAAGACTACACATTGAATACAGTGTGCACTCCTTGGGTGATGGGTGCACCAAGATCTCAGAAATCACCACTAAAGAATTTATCCATGTAACAAAACACCTCCTGTTCTCCCAAAACTTATTGAAATTAAAAATAAATAAATAAAAAAGAAAACAATATCTTTCATGATATCAACCAAAAATATAATACTTAGCAATAAATTTAATCAAAGAGGTAATAGAGTTATACACTGCAAATTATAAAGTATTGATAAATAAAATTAAAGAAGACATAGATAAATAAAAAGACCTGTCTGTGTTCATGGATAGGAATATTTAATATTTTTAAAACATCTATACTACCAAAAGCAATTTACAGATTCAATGCAATTCCCTATCAAAATTCCAATAGCATTCATTACAGAAAGAGAAAAATAACTCCAAAATTCAAATGAAACCTCAAAAGACCCTACATAGCCAAAGCAATCTCTAGCAAGAAGAGCAAAGCTAGAGGTATTATATGTCCTGACTTCAAAAAAATTACAATATTGTAGGAATCAAAACAGCATGGTACTGACATAAAAACAGACATATAGACCAATGGAACATCATACAAATTACAGAAATAAATCCATTTATCAACAGATCTCCAGCAATGGTGCCAAGAACATACAATGGAGAAAGAATAGTCTTTCCAATAAATGGCGATAGGAAAACTGGATATGCACATGTAGAAGAATGTAAATGGAACTTTATCTTGCATAAATATAAAAAAATTCAAAATAAATTAAAGACTTAAATATAAGACCTGAAACCACAAAACACTAAGAAGAAAAACTTAGGGGAAAGGTTTCTTACACTGTTCTGGGAAATGATTTTTCAGATATGATGCCAAAAGCACAGACAATAAAAGCAAAAATAGACAAACAAAATTACATCAAACAAAATACCTCTGCATAGCAAAGGACACAATCAACAGAGTGAAAAGGCAACGTACAGACAGGGAGGATATATTGGCGAACTCTATATAAGACAAGGGATTATATAGACATATTGTCAAACTCTATATAAGACAAGGGATTAATATTTACAATATGTAAGAAATTCATACAACTCAATAGCAAAGTAAAAGCCCTATTAAAAAATAGGCAAAGGGTCTGAATAGAAGCTTATGAAAAGAAGACATACAAACATCCAACAATACATAAAGAGGTGTTAAACCTCACTAATCATTGGAGAAATGCAAATAAAAAACACAATGAGATATCACCTCACACCTGTTAGAATGGCTGCTATCAAAAACAAAAAAGATAACAAGTGTTAGCAAGGAAATAGAGAAAAGGGACCACTTCTGCACTTTTGGAGAAAAACCATTTTGGAAAACAGTATGAAGATTCCTCAAAAAATTGAAAACAGAAATGCCATATGACCCAGCAATCATATGATGTATATATATATATATATATATATATATATATATATATATATATACACACACACACATACACACACACACATGAGTATATATGTATCTCATATATGTATATCATATATATGTATATATGTATATCATAGATATATATGATTGCTGGAGATACATATATATCTATATCCATATATATCCATACAAAATGAAGTCACTATCTTAAAGAAATATCTGCACTCTCATGTTCATTGCAGTATTATTCACAATAGCCATGATATTGAAACATCCTAAATTCCTACCAATAAATGAATGGAGTAAATATGTGGTATATATACATAGTGAAACATTATTCAGCCTTAAAAAAGAAGGAAATCTTGATGTTTTCAACAATATAGGTAAACCTAAAGGACATTGTGTTAAGTGAAATTAGGTAGACACAGAAAGATAAATACTGCATAATCTCAATTATATGTGAAATACCCAATATTCAAACTCTTAGATATATAGGTTGAAATTATGGCTGCAAGGTTTAGAGGTGGTAGAAATGAAAAGTTGTTGGTCAAAGGGCACAAAGTTTCAATTAAGTGAAATGAATAAGTTCTGAAACCCTATTGTACAGCAATGTGAATATACATAACAATACTTTATTGTACACTTGAAATTTGGTAAGAAGGTAGATCTTAAGTGTTCTCATTATAAAAAATAAAGAGAAAAAGAGAACTATGTGAGATGACAAATTTTAATTAGTTTGTGATGATTATTCACAATGTTTATATATGCCAAACAAATTCATACACCTAAAATATATAAAATTTTTGCCAACTATACCTCAATAAATATGAAATAAAACTAGAGAAGTCACCTGCAAAGAAAGAAAAAGAGAGAGAGAGAGAGAAAGGAAGAAGGAAAGAGAGAGAAAAAAAAGAAAGAAGGAAAGAAAGAAAGAAAGAAAAGAAAGAAAGAAAGAAAAGAAAGAAAGAAAAGAAAGAAAGAGCAAAGAAAATAATACCAAGTTGCTATTCCAACTCAAAGAAAACTAAAAAGACTAACAACAAAGTCTGGTATGATCCTGGATCTCAAAGAATATGTTTCCTCGTAAAAGGAAATTATTAGCATAATGGACATAATTTGTGTAAAGGTAGTATGTTGGAGGGTAGTATTCTATCAATGTTAAATTTTCTAAGTATTATCACTGCAGTGTAGTTATGTAAAACTGTTCCTAAAAACAGATGCCTATTCTTAGGAAATGCACTGAATTGTTTGGGAGTAAAGGAAGAAAAAAGCATGACTCAGCTGTATACTTTCTACAAGAAACCCACCTTAAACATAAAGCTTTAAAGAGGTTAAAACTTAAAGAATGGAGAAATATACCATGCAAACACTAATCATGAGGAAACTTAAATAGCTGTATAAATTTCAGACAAAGCAGACTTCACAACAATAGCATTATCAGGGATAAAATAGAAACTTACAAAATAATAAAGGGAACAGTTTTCCAAGAAGACATAAGAATACTAAATGTATATTCAACTAACAAGAGAGCTTCAAAATGCATGAGACAAAACTGATAGCTGTGATAAGAAAAATAGGCAAATCAACATTTATAGTTGGTGATTTCAACACTTCTCTTTTAGAAATTGGGAGAAAAAGGAGGCAGTACGTTAGTAAGAATATAGATGAACTGAGCAACACTATCAACTAACGACGTAATTGACATAAGGTCCACTCAACAACAGCAGAATATGTATTCTTTTCAATCTTCATCAAGATGGGTAATGTTGTGTGCTATAAAACAAACCTTACCACAGACAGAAGGACAGAAATCACACAAGGATATTCTAAGTCCATAATGAAGTACGACTGGAAATCAACAAAATATCTAGAACAACCTCCAATATTTAGAAATTAAACAACACACTTCTAAAAACACTGATAACGTAGACTGACTGCAAGAATGCAGAGCAACTAGATTCTTCTTATGCTGATGGTGAGAGTGTAAACTGACCTCAACTTGGAGAACTGTTTGGCACTTCCTTAAACATACACTGACTGTCCCTGTGACCTAGGATTTCAACTTATAGTATTTACCCAATGGAAAATTTTTAAATGTCTGTATAAAACTTGTAAAAGTATTTTCATTGCACTCAGTAATAGTTCAAACTGGAAATAATCCAAATGTATACCAAAAAGAGGGTGGACAAATTACTGTATATACATACAGTGTAATGCTACTGAGTGATAAATCAGTGTGGATATGCACTCATGAAGATCCATATCCACATGGATTTATCTATCTAGAGTATCTATCTAGAGTATCTAGATAAATCTAGATAGATTTATCTATGCCAGGAGTTTGGGAGATTTTTGAGATATATCTAGCTAGTTGCATGTGTCAGTAGATCACAAAAATCTCCCAAATTCCTAGCATAAATAAATGCATATTGGATAATTTCATTTATTTGAAGTTCAATAATGTACCAAACTATTTTATAGTGATGGAAAACAGAACAATGTTTGCCTATAGATTATGGGTATTGATTGCAAGGGAGAATGAGGGAAGTTGCTGGGTTATGGCAGTGTGCTTCTCGGGTAGGATGTTAGTTATATATTTGTGTGAATTCATCAAAGTTTATCAAGGTATACACTTAAAAATCTGTGAATTTAACTCTGTGTAAGTATTATCAAAATTAGTAAAAGATTTTTTTTTAAATTAGAGGATAATATTACACTGTTAGTAAACATTTTTAAATAAGAGAATTCTTGATAATATATAAAAATACTTCAAAAGAAACTAAAAATTAATCACCAATTTATTTTACTTTTAAATAAATAAAATTTCCCAAGAATAAATTCCAATGTAAAGTTTCCTGATACTCAAATTAGACCATTTAAAATCTTAAGGGAGATCTGGTAAAATTTTATATTTTAGAATGCTTAAGCTATGGCCAAAAGTATGACTTAGTGTCATGCATATTTCAATTATGTAGGTTTTTCACCCAATGCTATAACCACCACCTTTTACCATAATTAATCAAAATTTACATAAGTGTAAATAAAGATACAGTGTAGTTCACACAAATTTGTTTGCATTTTTCAATTTCCATTGATTTTTTAAAAATATTCTAGAAGATATATACAAATCTTTAGAATCTATAAAAAATTGAATATTTTATGACTGACAACACCTATTCTTATAGCAGATTTTTTCTCATAGGATTTTTAATGGGGCATTATGTGATTGATGTTAATTGTCATTTTAGAAGTTCCTTTTACTTTTTTTGCTCATTTGATCACAAAAAATCAGATAACTTTCTTTTCACAGTATCTGATGGGGCACTGCCTCGTGTACTAAAAATGGATGACTTCCCAAAGTGTGGCATATCTTTATTTCTTGGCTAGCTTCCCATGTAGAGAAATAAGTGTTCATAATTATCTGAAGGAGAGTTTTTGCATATTACTCTTTAAGCATATAATTATCTCTTATATTTTGGGAAGCATTTTATGTGTAGGCCTACAGCATACTGTATGTTTTCTTTAAAAGGCAAAGTAGCTAAAAATGAACGTGTAGAAAATGTGACAGTCATACCATGCTAGCTGTGTTTGTTACTATGCCACTATAACATGATTTAAAAGCCACTAATGCAAAAGGAAAGTGCATGGTACTTGCTGTGTGTTTCTAATTGGCACAATTTGCTTATACAGTCCTTGAAGCCAGAATTCCGTTGTTCACATAACTGATTTAATAAAATTAAATGGCAGGCATTTTTTTTCCTTGCAATTTTGGAACGTTGGAATAAGCAGAAAGAAAGGCTATGCCCATGAATACTAATTAATAGCAGTTCTTGCTAAATATAAATTGCCTTCTTCAAAGACAACTATGATTAAGACACGGCTAAGAATGAATGCATGAGAAAATCCATTTTATAGACTAGAGCTGGATCAAGATTTTCTCTGTACACAGTAGCTTAAGCTTTTAAACAAAACCCTTTCTTATCCTTTACCAAGTTGCACTCATGAAGATCCATATTCACGCTGACTTTTAACAACTACCCAAGGAAGTAGGTAAAATATGAGCTCTAAAGCAAAGAACACACACCCACCGTTGCCATATATAATAATGCTTCCTTATCCCCTCATTTACTTCTCACTTACCTCACCGTTTTACCTCAAACCCATTTGTGACAAGACTCCCCAGTGCAACCCTCAATTCACCCATTCACCCATCCATTTATCCACCAAAGATTTATTGAGCATCTACTAGATGTTAAAGACCATGTTAGATAATGGAAATAAAATATCAACAAAAATATTTCTTGCCTTCAGAAAAGTAATAATGGGCTGGGCGCGGTGGCTCACGCCTGTAATCCCAGCACGTTGGGAGGCCGAGACGGGCGGATCACGAGGTCAGGAGATCGAGACCATCCTGGCTAACACGGTGAAACCCCGCGTCTACTAAAAAAAATACAAAAAATTTAGCCGGGCGTGGCGATGGGCACCTGTAGTCCCAGCTACTCGGGAGGCTGAGGCAGAATGGTGTGAACCCAGGAGGCAGAGCCTCCATGTGAGATGCTTTCACATGGGCCTAGAACCAATGTTAATAAAAACTAATATGACTTAAATGTATTTAAAATAAGGTACACATTCTTCTAATAACTCACCGATCATTTTTAAAAATCACAAAGATGGCTTGGGGCCAATAACATAACACTCTTAAAGTCATTATTCTTCACTTATCATTTTAAAAAACCCCAACACTTGAACTGGTAGTCTTTAAAACTCTGCATGACTGCATATGTCCCAGTTCTGATCATTTTTTCCACTTTTTATTATTCAAAAAGTAATTTTTAAATTTTAAACCTGGTGAAGTTAAAGGGGAATTCTTAAAATGAAAAATCAGTCTGTGCCACATCTTTTTCAAGAATAAAATGTTCTAGGAGATCATAATGGAACAAAATGCTCTCTGGAAGATAGCAGTTATAGGACAAACAGTACACTCATCAGAGTGCTTGCTGCCACAGATAAATTGAAGGTCCAAATGGCATACATAATCCAAAACTAGAATAAGTCCTTTTTACAATCAATCAAGTATAAGAGAAGCAGGAATAATACTTATCTTCAAAGAATAGATGCGATATTTTGTTCTATACTCTGAAAACATATGGCTAGAATTGTGTTTAAAAAGCATCAGAGGGCTTAAGCTATTTTACCTTTAATTCAGTTCTCATCACACACTCAACAGTAATAATTGGCCTTCCTCCTTTTTTGCCTCCCTCTCTTTTGCACCCCCTCCTTTCCTTTCTACTTTGCTTCTTTCATTCTTGCCTCCTTTTCTTCTTCCTACCTTTCTATGTGTGTTGGACTTCTGAATGCATGGATATATAAGAAAAATAATTCAGTAGTCAATGTCCATGATCTCTCATTTGCAGTGATCCTTAGTGGTCTGCTTTCTAGTTTTCCTTCATTAGGTAAGGGTCAGACCCTTTCAGGTTTCATAATCTTCTATGTCCACGCCTAAGTCTTAACAGGCAGAGGTAAATCAATTCTACTCAAATACGAGAAATAAATACAGAGACTTAAGACTTTCAGAAAAGAATTTGGAACAATGTACTTTCCCCCTTAACTTTATTATGATTAATTCCAAAAGAATTTGCCAATGATTCTTTATTTTATCAAATACTTATTAGTAACAAAGTAAGATATATTTACCTTTATTATTCCATAGCACATGCTTTATTAACATCTTTTCTTATTAATTTTCAAAGTTGTTATTTGAAATAGATTTATTTTGTCTTGTGTTTTTTTGACATATAATTTTATCTTTATATAATTAAAAGAAAAGAAACACTGGAAAATATGTTCAGTTGAAATGGATGCCTACGGTCTTTCTGATGATTGAAGGAAAAATTTATATATAGACTTTCCTATGCAATCTCTAAAGGATATTTATCAGCAATTTTACTGATCGATGACCAAAGGTTTATAAACCCACATGCTATTAATTTTTAAGCACCAAAGGATAGGAGAGTGATAATATGAAAAAGAAAGAACTCATTAGTTTTTAATAGAGCATTGAATGGCACACATTTTGCCATCCAACTATTTATCCAGGGCTTCTCACCATGCTCCTCAAAACTGCTGCACAATAAATAATAAAAGATTAAAACCCTAAACCTGGAAAACTTAGAAAAAATATTAGAAAATTTTATTTGAGATTATAAAAATCCTCAAATGATTTACTTTAAGAGACACCTTCATTGCTTCCATGTGCAAGGACTAATGATGTCCTGGGGCTGAGGACTGGCGAGAGTGCTGCTTGGGAAACATAGTCTGTGGTAGGTGATAAAGCAGGCCCTCCACACGGCTCTCTCACTGTCACCAGCCTATCTTTTTACCATTTGTTACAAAAAAATGATAGTTCATGTACATATTTATATATCTGGACTGTTATAACCCTGATTCTCTTTTTTCAGAACAGCTCCTTTTGTTCTAACCAACTCTGTTTCTAGGTATGGTGACTGCAATTAGTTTTTTTGTATTGAGCTTAAATACAATAAAAAATTCTAATTAAAGGACCAGCTCTCAGGATATTGACATCCGAGGAGACAAGATTTCACAATCGTTTTGGTTTTGCCTGTATCCTCTCTTGCTTTCTACCCAGGACTCCTTTAATTATCATGTCATCTATTTAGTAATTTTATACTCATTTCATATCCTTCCTCCTAATGGTGATGTATCTTTGATAGTTTCCCAGGTGACTTTTGAGGCAAAGTTGGATGTGCCTTCTCCGATAGATAAAACGTGAAGGTATATTTGCCAGTTTCAGCTGGGAGACAAAGATGAAGACTGGGCTTCAGTTTGGTTGCTTTTATTCACAGAAATAGAAAAAAGTAAACAAGTCATAATGATTATATTATAGTCTGGGAAATCTATGAAACCAGCAGGCTGAACATATTCCTTATAAAGTCAAGTTTCTCATGAAATATATTCTCATTTGATTTTACAAACAGGTACATATAAGGAAATGAGAAGAATGAGGCAGAGCGATGGATCACTGTCTCTCTCTCAGGACTTGATGCTGCTCCTCACTTACCATGGAACCACAGAATGTACTGTTATTTCTAAATGCCTTGAGCCATTTTGGAACTTCCCTCAGGAGTTAACAGTGTTGTTTGCAGGACCTATGGAGCAATGGTATGGTGGGGTATAGGAAGTGCTCTGCCTTCAGGAACATCGTCTCCACCACTTACTTTCAGTTCTCTTCTTTGCAGATGTGGTATTTATAGGATTTATCTTATCAAATTGTGCCAAAAATTTAAAATAAAGAATTTAAAATAATGCCTGGCACACAGTCAGCATGAAATAATTTTTATAAGATTATCACTGTTTATTGACCTTGTAAAATTTATTTTATAATCACCAAAATGTTAATTGTATGTTCAGTATAGCAAAGATACCAAATAATTTAATAATATAGGGAAGAAAAATTAAGGGGTATATTTTTAGGACCTTCTGTGGGTGGCAAAACATAAAAACAATACAGAGTTAGGGAAAAGAAAAAATGCATTTTTCTATCAACTGCTATTAGAAAGAAAAAAAGAAAGAAGAAAAGAGGGAATAAAGGCAAGAAAAAGTCAGCATTTGTCAATGGGAATTATTTTTAAAATAGTGCTTTTCTCATTATTTTGAGAAGACTATTGGATAAGAAGATTAGTTTTACATTAAAATGTTGATTCTTTTAAACAACAAAGTTATTTACCGATACCCAAGCTATTTAACATGATATTTGATTCACTGCCTACGAGGAATTCATAAAACTGTTTTGACAAAAGTGGTGGAAGAAAGTTAAATTCTAATTTTCTGGGCCATTAAAATTGTCTATGATATCTTGTCTGCTTCCCATGCTTTTCCATGCATAGACCTGGCTAATAATATTAGCAATGTACTCCAGAGATTCAGTTACTTCCTTGGAGAGTGTGTGAAAACCTTCCCTATTCCCTGTGATTTATATTGTATTTCAGGGGCAAATGTGTGTCACTGTTCTTTTTGCCTTCATCTTTGGAGAGCTACACAATGCACTGCACACTTTAGAGAATTTTTCCATAACTCCCAATCTGTTCTTCAAGCAATATGCTGCAAGTATTTTCTTTTTTTATTTTTTGCCAACATTGCCTCTTTTTCTTCTTTTTCAAGATGCAGTATTCCACATTTATCTGCATTGATTTCTGGCATTTGCCATCTTTTAGCCCAGGTACTTAAGTGATCCAACTTCTGTGTCTGACTACATAGTTCTTTTATTTACTGTTCTTTTGACTTTATTATCATCTGCAATATCAAGTAGCTCTGCTATGGAGCTTACCCTGTGGGTCACAGTTTAAAGTCAATCTAACACATGACACAAATCTCTCTGGGTCTGGGAATTTTCTGATAATTTTTGTAGATCTTAAAAAGACAAGATTGGGGATTTTATGTTGGTAAACCTCTGAAAATGCAGATTTAACTCTTCAGAAGATAATTTTTCCTAAATTTTAACTGTGGCCCTCTCCATAATTTTGTATGGCCAGTCAGTAGAACCCTTTTGACACTCCAATCTGTAAAATAAGATCAAAAACATTTATATTTTTTATTTGCACAAATGCAGATACCTTAGAAAATATGAACCTCTCACATTGGTGTGTATTTTTTAAAATCAATTTCTAGCTGATATTAGCAGTTCTAATCAAATGGGGATTTTGGTTAGAAGGCCTAGAAACCTTGGGAAAAAAAGAGAAATTTTGGGGAGGAGCAAATTAGAGCAAAACTCCATCTCAGAAAAAAAAAGAATACTAAATTCTCTGATCGTGGGTTAAATAGAGAAACTAAAAGAAAAGTTGGAGGGAATAAATGTTGTTGTACTTTACTACATAATGATTTCTGACATATGTTCAAATGGTGTCTTAATGAACAATGGGCATTATTACACAAACAGTATCCCAGTCCAAAATCTCACTGGAGACAATGCAATTCCCTTCCACCTATGAACCTATAAAATGAAAAGCAAGTTAGTTACTTCCTAAATACAATAAGGGTACAGGCATTGGGTAAATACAGCCATTCCAAATGGGAGAAATCGGCCAAAACAAAGGGGCCAGAGGCCCCATACAACTCCAAAATCCAAAATTAGTACCAGTAGAGTGGGACATTGCTGAAAAGATACCCCAAAATGTGAAAGTGACTTTGGAACTGGGTAACAGGCAAAGGTTGGAACAGTTTGAAAGGCTCAGAAGAAGATGAAAATGTGGAAAAGTTTGGAATTCCCTAGAGACTTGTTGAATGGCTTTGACCAAAATGCTGGTAATGATATGGACAATGAAATCCAGGCTGATGTGTTCACAGATGGAGATGAGGAACTTGTTGGGAACTGGAGCAAAAGACATTTTAGCAAAGAGACTGGTGGTGCATTTTGTCCCTGCCCTAGAGATCTGTGGAACTTTAAACTTGAGAGAGAAGATTTAGGGTACCCGGTAGAAGAAATTTCTAAGCAGCAAAGCATTCAAGAGGTAACCTGCGTGCTGTTAAAGGCATTCAGTTTCAAAAGGGAAACAGAGCATAAAGTTTGGAAAATATGAAGCCTGGAGATGCAATAGAGAAAAGTCCCATTTTCTAAGGAGAAATTCAAGCTGGCTGTAAAAATTTGCATAAGTAACAAGGAGCCGAATGTGAATGGTCAAGGCAATGGGGAAAATGTCTCCAAGGCATGTCAGAAAACTTTGTGGCAGCCTCTCCCATCACAGGCCTGGAGGCCTAGAAGGAAAAAGTAGTTTCATGGGCCAGGCCCAGAGCCTTGCTGGTTTGTACAATCTCAGGACTTGGTGCCCTCCACCCTAGCTATGACTAAATGGGGCCAATGTACACCTCAGGCCATTGCTTCAGAGGGTGCAAACCCCAATCCTTGGAAGCTTACACGTGGTGTTGGGCCTGCAAATGCACAGATGTCAAGAATTGAGGTTTGGGAACCTCCACCTAGATTTCAGAGGATGTATGGAAATGCTTGGATGTCCAGGCAGAAGTTTACTGCATGGGTGGAGCCCTCATAAAGAACCTCTGCTAGTGCAGTGTGGAAGAGAAATGTGGGGTTGGGAACCCCACAAAGAGTCCCCACTGGAGCACTGCCTAGCAAATTTGTGAGAAGAGGGCCACCATCCTTTAGAACTCAGAATAGTAGATCCATGAACAACTTGCACTGTGCACCTGGAAAAGCTGAAGACATTCAACACTAACCATGAAAGCAGCTGGGAGGGGTCTGTACACTGCAAAGCCATAGAGGTGGAGCTGCCTAAGGCCATGGGAGCCCATCTCTTGCATCAGCATTACCTGGATGTAAGACATGGAGTCAAAGGAGATTATTTTGGAACTTTAAGGTTTAATGACTGGCTTATTGGATTTTGGACTTGCATGGGTCCTGTAGCCCCTTTGTTTTGACCAATATTTCCCATTTGGAACAGGTGTATTTGCCCAATGTCAGTACCCCCATTGTTTCAAGGGAGTAACTAAACTGTTTTTGATTTTGCAGGCTCATAAGCAGAAGGAACTTGTCTCAGATGAGACTTTGGACTTGGACTTCCGGGTTAATGCTGAAGTGAGTTAAGACTTTGGGAGACTGTTGGAATGGCTTAATTGTGTTTGAAATGTTAGAACATGAGATTTGGAAGGAGCCAGGGGCAGAATGATATGGCTTGGCTCTGTGTCCTCACCCAAATTTTATCTTGATTTATCATCCAAATTGTAATCTCCACATGTTGGGGAATGGACCTTGTGGAAGGTGATTAGATCATGGGGGCAGTTCCCCCATGCTGTTCTCATGACAGTGAGTGATTTTTCATGAGATCTCATAGTTTTATAAGGAACTTTTTCCCCCATTCACTCAACACTTCTCTCTCCTGCCACCATGTGAAGAAGGACATATTTGCTTCCCCTTCCACCATACTTGTAAGTTTCCTGAGGCTTCTCCAGCCATGCAAAGCTGCGAGTCAATTAAACCTCTTTTCTTTATAAATTACCCAATCTCTAGTATTTCTTCATAGCAGTGTGAGAACAGACTAATACAATGATCAAATCAGGGTATCTAATACATCCATCACTTTGAACATTTATCATTTATTTGTGTTCTGAACATTCACAACTTCTCTTCCAGCTTGTTGAAAATATACAGTATATTGTTTTGAACCATATTAACCCTCTATTGTTACAGAACAACAGAACTTATTCCTCCTGTCTAACTGTTAACTTTTTAGCTGTTAATCAACTTCTCTCTATCCTCCTCTCCTCCTTACCCTTTTAGCCTCGAATAACTACAATCCAATATCTGCATCTATAAGGTCTATGAGTTCAACTTTTTTAAAGCTCCTATACATGAATGAGAACCTTCAGCATTTATCTTTCTATGCCTGATTTATTTCACTTAACAGAATGTCCTCTAGGCTTATCCATGTTGCTGCAAATGACAGGATTTCATTCCTATTATAACTGAATAGTATTTCATTTTGTATACGTACAGCATTATCTTCATTCATCTATTGATAAACATTTAGGTTGATTTAATATCTTGACTATTGTGAATAGAAATACAATAAATATGGGAGTGGAGATATCTCTTCAATATGCTGATTTCTTTTCCTTTGGATAAATAGCCAGTAGTAAGATTGCTAAATCATATGGCAGTTCTATTTTTAGTTTTCTTTAGAAACCTCCATACTCTTTTCCATAATGGCCGTACTAATTTATATTTCTACCAAGAGTGTATGAGTTCCCTTTTCTCCAAATCCTTTGCAGTATTTCTTATTTTTTCTTTTTGATGATTTCCATTCTAATGTGAGTCAGATGATATCTTATTGTAGTTTTGATTTGCTTTTTCCTGATGATTGGTGAGGATGAGCATTTTTTTCATATACTTGGTGACCATTTGTATGTCTTCTTTTGAGAAATCTCTGTTCAGATGCTTTGCCCTTTTTTTTTTCATTGAATTCATTGCCTAGTCTGTTTCCTTATATTCCGCCTCTCAAGAAATATCACACATATTAGCAAGGTCACTGTCATCTTTATTTAAAAAGTAACTGATGGCTAACTCATTTTATGATGAGTTAGGACAGAGTCCCCCCTTTTCAATTGTTTTGAATAGTTTCAGAAAGTATGGTACCAGCTCTTCTTTGTATTTCTGGTCAAATTCAGCTATTAATCTGCCTGGTGTTTGGCTTTTTTTGGTTGGTAGGCTATTAATTACTGCCTCAATTTCAGAGCTTGTTATTGGTTTATTCAGGGATTCCACTTCTTCCTGGTTTAGTCTTGGGAGGGTGTATGCATTCAGGAATTTATCCATTTCTCTTAAATTTTCTAGTTTATTTGCATATAGGTGTTTATAGTATTCTCCGATGGTAGCTTGTATTTCTGTGGGGTCAGTGGTGATATTCCCTTTATCATTTTTTATTGCATCTATTTGATTCTTATCTCTCTACTCCTTCATTAGTCTAGCTAGCAGTCTATCTATTTTGTTAATGTTTTAAAAAAACAGCTCCTGGATTTGTTGATTTTTTGGAGAGTTTTTCATGTCTCTTTCTCTTCAATTCTTCTCTGAGCTTAGTTATTTCTTGCCTTCTGATACATTTTGGATTAGTTTGCTCTTGCCTCTCTAACTCTTTCAATTGTGATGTTAGGGTGTAGATTTGAGATCTTTCTAACTTTCTGATGTGGGCACGTGGTGCTAAAAACTTCCTGCATAACACTGCTTTAGCTGTGTCCCAGAGATTCTGGTATGTTTTCTCTTTGTTCCTATTGGTTTTAAAGAACTTCTTAATTTCTGCTGTAATTTCATTATTTACCTAGTGTCATTCAGGAGCAGGTTGTTCCATTTCCATGAAATTATGTGGTTTTGAGTGAGTTTCTTAATCTTGAGATCTAATTTGATTGCATTGTGGTCTGAGAAACTGTTATGATTTCCATTCTTTTGTATTTGCTGAGGAGTGTTTTACTTCCAATTATGTGGTCGATTTTAGAATAAGTGCCATGTGGTACTGAGCAGAATATATATTCTGTTGATTTGGGGTAGAGAGTTCTGTAGACGTCTACTAGGTCCATTTAATCCAGAGCTGAGTTCAAGTCCTGGATATCCTTGTTAATTTTCTGTCTCAGTGATCTGTCTAATACTGACAGTGGGGTGTTAAGGTATCCCACTATTATTGTGTGGGAGTCTAAGTCTCTTTGTAGCTCTCTAAGAACTCGTTTTATGAATCTGGGTGCTCCTGTATTGGGTGTGTGTATATATATATATATATATATATATATAATACAAAGCGCTTCTTGTTGAATTGTTCCCTTTATCATTGTCTAAGGCCGGTCTTTTTTTTTTTATATTTTTAGTGTCAAACCTGTTTTGTTAGAGACTATGAATGCAACCCCTGCTTTTTTTGCTTTCCATTTGCTTGGTAAATTTCCCTTCATCCCTTTATTTTCAGCCTGTGTTTGCCTTTGCACATAAGATGGGTGTCCTGAATATAGCACACCAATGAGTCTTGACTCCTTATTCAATTTACCAGTCTGTGTATTTTAATTGGGGGACTTAGCTTATTGACATTTAAAGTTAGCATTGTTATGTGTGAATTTGATCCTTTCATCATGTTGTTATTCATCCTGATACCAAAACTGGGAAGAGACACAACAAAAAAAGAAAACTTTAGACCAATATCACTGATGAGCATCAATGCAAAAATACTCAATAAAATACTGGCAAACGGAACCCAGCATCACATCAAAAAACTTATCTACCGCGATCAAGTTGGTTTCATCCCTGGGATGCAAGGCTGGTTCAACATACGTGAATCAATAAATGTAGTCTATCACATAAACAGAACCACAGACAAAAACCACATGATTGTTTCAATAGATGCAGAAAAGGCCTTTGATAAAATTCAACATCCCTTCATATTAAAAACTCTCAATAAACTAGGTATTGATGGAACATATCTCAAAATAATAAGAGCTATTTATGACAAATCCTTAGCCAATATCATATTAAATGGAAAAAGCTGGTTGCATTCCTTTTGAAAACTGGTACAAAACAAGAATGCCCTCTCTCACCACTCCTATTCAACATATTGGAAGTTCTTGCCAGGGCAATCAGGCAAGATAAAGAAATAAAGGGTATTGAAATATGAAAAAGGAAGTCAAGTTGCCTCTGTTTGTAGATAATGTGATTTTATATTTAGAAAACCCCATCATCTCAGCCCAAAAATTTCTTGAACCAATAAGCAACTTCACCAAAGTCTCAGGATACAAAATCAATGTGCAAAAATCAAACATTCTTTTACACCAACAATAGGCAAGCAGCCAGCCAAATCATGAATGAACTCCCATTTACAATTGCTACAAAGATAATAAAATACCTAGGAATACAGCTAACAAGGGACGTGAAGGACCTCTTCAAGGAGAACTACAAACCACTGCTCAAGGAAATAATAGAAAGCACAAATGGAAAAACAGTCCATACTTATGTCTAGTAAGAATCAATATTGTGAAAATGGCCATACTGCCCAAAGTAATTTATATATTCAATGCTATTGCCATCAAACTAATATTAACATTCTTCACAGAATTAGAAAAAAACTATTTCAAATTTCATATGGCATCAAAGAAGATCCCATATAGCCAAGACAATCCTAAGCCAAAAGAACAAAGCTGGAGGCATCACACTGCCTGACTTCAAACTATACTGCAAGACTACAGTAACCAAAACAGCATGGCACTTGTACCAAAACAAACGTATAGACCAATGGAGCAGAACAGAGGCCTCAGAAATAACACTATACATCTACAACCATCTGATCTTCAACAAACCTGACAAAAACAAGCAATGGGGAAAGGATCTCCTATTCAGTAAATGGTGCTCGGAAAACTGGCTAGCCATATGCAGAAAACTGAAACTGGACCCATTCCTTATACCTTATACAAAAATTAACTCAAGATGGATAAAAGACTCAAATGTAAAACCCAAAACCATAAAAGCCCTAGAACAAAACCTAAGCAATACCATTCAGGACATAGGCACAGGCAAAGACTTCATGATAAAAATCCCGAAAGCAATTGCAAAAGAAGCCAAAATTACCAAATGGGATCCAATTAAACCAAAGAGCTTCTGCACAGCAAAAGAAACTATCATCAGAGTGAACAGGCAACCTACAGAATGGGAGAAAATTTTTTCAATCTACCTATCTGAAAAAAGTCTAATATCCAGAATTTGCAAGGAACTTAAACGTATTTACAAGAAGAAAACAAACAACCCCATCAAAAAGTGGGCAAAGGATATAAACAGACACTTCTCAAAAGAAGACATTTATGCAGTCAACAAACATATTTTAAAAAGCTCATCACTGATCATCAGAGAAATGCAAATCAAAACCACAATGAGATACCATCTCACACCAGTCAGAATGGCAATTAAAAAGTCAGGAAAACAATAGATACTGGCAGGGTTGTGGAGAAATAAGAATGCTTTTACATTGTTGTTGGGAATGTAAATTAGTTCAACCATTTTGGAAGACAGTATGGCAATTCCTCAAAGATCTAGAACCAGAAATACCATTTGACCCAACAACCCCATTACTGGGTGTCTACCCAAAGGAATATAAATCATTCTACCATAAGGACACATGCACACATATGTTTATTGGAGCACAATACCAAAGACATGGAACCAACTGAAATGCCCATCAATGATAGACTGGATAAAGAAAATGTGGTACATAAACACCATGGAATACTATGCAGCCATACAAAGGAATGAGATCATGTCCTTTTCGTGGACATAAACGAAGCTGGAAGCCATCATCCTCAGCAAACTAACACAGGAACAGAAAACCAAACACCGCATGTTCTCACTCATAAGTGGGAGCTGAACACTGAGAACAGAGAGAGGAACAACATACACCAGGGACTGTTGGGGGTAGGTTTGAAGGGAGGGAACTTAGAGGATGGGTCTATAGGTGCAACAAACCACCATGGCACATTTATACCTATGTAGCATACCTGAACGTTCTGCACATGTATCTTGTTGAGTTTTTTTTAGAAGAAATAAAGACAAAAATTAATTGATAGGCAGGTTAAAGATTTGAAATTATAAAAATGGATTTATTTATAATCTTTGAAGAGCACTCATTTTGTGGGGTAAAGTTACTTAATAAAACTTTTATCTGGAATACATTAATAATTACTGGACTTTACTATTTGGAGAACTCACAATTTAGAAAAACATTTTTACTATTACATTTCTGCTATGTTTCTCATATATTTAATCTTCAGTTGATACACATAGATCCGATACTGCCTCTTTAAATATATGGCAACTATTCACTTAGAAGTATTTATCTGTTTATGGCGGTGTTTATCTGTCAGTCAGTCAGCTACTGTTTATTGAGGGCCCACAGAATATGTGCACACTTGTGAACATGAAGCTTGCAGATTATTTAATTTTGGAAAATGGCACTTGTAAATCCTGCAGACTAACTTTATACTGAAGATAATATTGTTTCCCAAAACCTACTCTTTGTAAATGCTATTGTAACTGAGTCTTTTGGCCTCCAATACATTAATCACATGTACTTGGTATGAATCTCATGAGAGTGACCCAATTGCATGATTAAATTTAATTGCATGATTAAAATTTTGTTGTTAATACTCCTAATGTTTTGGTCTGTAACAAGATCACTCCTCTTGCTGGGTTTGTGTTGTGAGCTCATGAATTGCTTGCTTTAGAAATACTCACACTCCAGATATTAGAATGAGAATGAGATGTAGCCTAGAAACAGCTATCTGTGATTCTTAAAGCTGTAACATTGGAATAGTCATTTAAGCTCACCAGACTTCAGTGTCCTTTTGACAGGAATGTTAGTAATAATCATTATATTAACAATGAATGACAGATATTTGTTGAATACTTACTTTGTTTCATTGTCTTTGCTAAGACATTCAGATAGATTATTTTGAATTTTATAATAAACTTCAATTATAGCACCACTATCATCTCCACACTTCTTCCCAGCCACAAGCCCAACCTAAAACATTTCAATGACTTCTTATTGCCGGGATAAAAACTAAAGTCCTTCACACAGCCTACATATTTCTGTATCTCCAACAGTTTTCCACTTCTGCTAACTCTTCAATTCTCTGCACATCGGACACATTAGGCTTGCCTGCCTGCCTGCCTTTCTTTCTTTCTTTCTTTCTTTCTTTCTTTCTTTCTCTTTCTTTCTTTCTTTTCTTTTTCTTTTTCTTTCTTTTTTCTTCTTTTCCCTAAACACTTTTCTTTCTTTCTCTCTCTCTTTCTTTCTCTCTTTCTCTCTTTCTTTCTCCCTCCCTCCCTTCCTTCCCTCCTTCTTTCTTTTCTTCTTTTCCCTAAACACACCATATTTACTCTCCTGCCACTGAAGATACTTAAGGAGGAATATTTGCAACATATACAAGAAAAGTTCTGTATAATTAGATAAAAGCAGCTCTTTAAATCAAACAGGAAAGAGCTATTATCTACATAGAAAAAATAAGCAAATCACTATAAAGAGACAATTTATACAAGTAACACTAATGGGAATAAACATGAAAATACTCAGTTTCACTGGTTTTCAGCAAAATGCAAATTGAAAAGAGATAGATTTTTTTTTCCTGTTGAGGCTTCCTAGAATTGACAGAGACAGGCAGGACAAGAGAATTCTTATATCTTTCTTGTACACTTTTATACATACTAAGATGCCAGTGATATGTCTTGCAGCATTATTTATACATCGTGAGGAGGTTCTACACCATTCATCTCTGTGTAATATATATAAACACAAGAAAGAATCTGTGGATAACAGAATATTGATATATTGTTTCAAAGAACACTTGACATTACAGAGAAACTATAAAATGAAGACAACTCCAATACTTCAAATTTTTTATTGTACTGGTGAAATACATAAGACTATATTTGCAATAAAGGTAGAAACGAGCAAGTGTCACAACAGTGTTTCAACCAAAACACTTGAAAAATTCTGCCCTCCAAAGAAAAATATCAGATTGAATGCCATGTGTTCACCACTTAGAAACAAGAGTACATGATGCGTTTGATGAGCTGATATGCCACCTGCAACTGCTTGTCAAAAACGGAAGTACGTACAGCTTGTAAATAGCATCATTCAAACTAGGATTGTAGAAAACATTTAAATGTAAATCCTGAGGGAAAAATATAACTATTTTATAAGTCAGTTAACTCTGATCATTTTTTCTACTTTTACTTTCAAATAATTATAGGTTTACAAGAAGTTGCAAAAATAGTACAGAAAGGTTCTATGTATCATTCACCCAGTTCTTCCCATTTCTTATGTAACTACAGAACAATATCACACCTAGAAAACTGATATTGTTATAATGTGTATACATAGCTCTATGTCACTTTATTACATGTGTAGATATGTGCAGTAAACATCAAGATACAGAGCTATCCCATTACCACTGAAATCTTCATGCTAACGTTTATAGCCGTTCTCCCTCTCTCTTTCTTCTCATCTCTAAATCCTAACATCCACTAATCTCTTCACCATCTCTATAATTTTGTCATATTGATTTACTCAATTATTTTTATCTTTAGTTTTTATGCATTTGCAAATGTGAATTTTTAAGTAATGACACTTTTATAAATATTTCAGAAATAAACATCACAGCTCTCAAATCTTATCAGGGATTCAGTCAATGTTCAGTGAATATGAATGTGTCTTAATTTTGGTAATTCTAAGCCAACGAGTTCATTCAATATACCAGATAAAGTATTGACAGTGGCAACTGCAGTACTAACTAGTATATGTTCTCTATTTCAGTAAGCAAACCTTCTTTTTAAAAAATCAGTTGATATGACCTTTATAATGAATGGAATATAATATACCTTATCTACTGATATGGCTTGGATGTTTTGTCTCCTCCAAATCTTATGCTGAAATGTGACCTCCAATGTTGGAGGTGGGCCTCGTGGGAGGTGTTCGGGTCATGGAGGAGAATCTCTCATTAATGACTTGGTGTTGTCCTCATGGTAATGAATATGTTCTTACACTATGAGTTTCTGCAAATCTGGTTGTTTGAAAGAGTCTGGCACCTCCTCCTTCTCTCTCTCTTACTCCCACTCTCACCATGTCACACAGTGGTTCCTCTTTGCCTTCTGCAATCAGTGAAAACTTCTTGAAGACCTCACCAGAAGCAGGTGCCAGCACTATGCTGTGTATACAGCCTGCAGAACCATAAGCCAGATAAACTTCTTTTCTTTATAAGTTGCCCCGTCTCAGGTATTCCTTTATAGCAATGCAGAATGAACTAACACATCTATTAATCTATTTCCTCCAAAAAATAACCATTCATACATGCAAATAAAACATGCTATTTAGCAACCATTAGAAACCTAATACTGTGTTAATTGTATAAAGAAACTTCTAGCTTTTTTTGGCATAATGTTGAACTAAAGTTTAATTCAGTGCATTCTGTACACACTAGACTATCTTCTCTCTCTCTCTCTCTTTTTCTTTTTTTTGACTTCTAGCTATTTTTTAAGAGATGGGGTTTTGCTCTGTCACCGAGGCTGGGGTTCAGTGGCATGATCATAGTTCATGCACCTCCAACTCCTGGGCTCAAGTGATCCCTCTTCAGCCTCCCGAGTAGCTGGGACCACAGCCATGCACCACTATGCCCAACTAATTTTTATTTTATTTTTTGTAAAGATGGGGTCTTCCTATATTGCTCAGGCTAGTTTCATACTCCTGGCACCAAGTGATCCTCCCATCTTGGCTTCCCAAGTTGCTGAGATTACAGGTGCAAGCCTTCATGCCCAGCCAATCCAGCTCTGAAGAACTCAAAATACAGATAAAGACTTATATTATTTTAAAATATTTTATTGTTACAATTTGCTCATTTATTGACAAATGAATGGCTACTATATAGTTACTACCCTACAACTGTTAAATTTTTTAATTTAATTTTAATTGCAATGACATACTTTTTAAATCACTAATATCATCAAAAGATGCCATAACATAAGCAGAAGTTACCATTTGCCTCTGTTCATTAACTAAAGCTTAAAATATTTTTGTCCTATTTTGGACTGGAGTTCTATTACAATTATCCTTGGATTTGTAGTTCAATTAAACCTTGATAATTTGATCCAAGGATGTATTCAATCATCCATTGCAGAATGCTAAAGTCATTTTTGCACATTCAGTACCAGATAATCCAGATTTTCTCCACGTTAATAGATATTTGAGCATGGAGAGCAAACTGCATCAGTCTGTATTGGCTATATTAGTGTAAACTGAGCAGTGCCAAGGCTTTATTTCCTATGTAGAGTAGATTTGGTGTATAAAGAAGTAAATAACTATAAAACAAATAGGCTACTCACATTAGAGGCAATATGTTCCTTCTGCCAATGAAAATTATCTAATAATAACCATAACATGTATGTATTCATTTTATTCTATGGGTACATTTATAAGGTGAGTTAACATATATTTCAGTGATGTTATTAGAAATACAATAATCAGGAAGAATATAGCATTATAAGGTACTGAGATGTGTTTTGTTATTGCTGTTGCTGTTGTTCTTTTGTATTTATTTCTTTGATTGTCTTTGTTTCTTTTCATTCAAAGATAATCTCTACAACATAGTGGCTGAGAATAGGCATTTATATCCAGCTGCAACATTTATCATTTGTGTGTCCTAAATAAATATCCCATTTGTAAAACGTAATGCTGTTTTTCCTGTTTCAGAGTGGTTTTAAGGAACAGATTAGTTTACCTTGTAGGCAGTATAATACCTGACACACAGTAAGAGCTCAATAAATGTTGATGGTTATAGTTATTATTATATTTAGTACAAACAAATATTTTGAGGAAAGATTAAAGATTTATCAGTATATAATATCCACAGTTGTCTCTTTAGAACTCTCATAATATTAATAATAATCCTGAATAATTTATCTGAAACTGAATGTAATGACAAAATGAAGGTATTTCACCCCACTCTTCTTGATGCCAACTAAAACCAAAGAAAATGGAAAAGAGAGGAGACAATTTATTCTGCAATAAAACATAGAAGGCACAGATAAACCAGAAACTATGAACGAGAGCTGCCAAAGCCAATGAAATTCATACCAAATTAAGAAAGCTTTCTGAGAGGATGTCAGCACCTATCAATCTTTCACATCATACTGTCTCCCTATGATTAGTCAAGCCCAAGGAGCTCAACTAGTGACTCTTCTTGTAATAAGAATGTCAGGAGAAGTGAAAAGTGTGGGAGTATCACCATAGCTATTTCACACTACAGAGAAGCAGAGGGAGAGGGCAGAATGAGGAATTTGGGAGACAAGACAACCTTAGCAGAGGCAGAGTGCCAGAGTGAAAGGACACGCCATGAGTGCAGCCAGTTTTGACTGTGGATCAAAGTCAACCAAAGATAAATCAACATTGTTGTGGGCTGAATTGTGTCCTCCCACCCCTTGACAAAATTATATGTTGAAAATCTAACCTCCAATGTGGCTATATTTGGAAACTGGCTATTTAAGAATGTAATTGAGGTTAAGTGAGGTCACAGGTGGGGCCTTAATCCCATCTGACTGGTGTTCTTAGAAGAAGAAAGACCAAAGATGCAGATACACAGGAGGAAGGCCACGTGAAGACACAGAAAGAAGATGGCAATCTGAAAGCCAAAGAGATGTGCCTTGGGAAAAACCGAAGCTGCTGACACCTTGATACTGGATTTCAGTCTCCTAAACTGCGATAAATTAATTTCTGTTGTTTAAGCCATCTAGTTTGTGATATTTTGTTATGTCAGCCCTAGCAAGCTAATACAAACACTAAATCTGAATTTAAAATATAATGAAGCAAAAACCCTTGGCATTGCAGGGCTTTTCTCTAGGCCACTTATATCTAATTCCAAAAGGAGACACAATGGTGACAAGGTACAAGACAGAGAAGGTGTGAAGGCATTGTGAGACAGCATGACTACCTTGAAGCTTTCCATTTATGCATCTTTTTAACCAAGTACTGATTACAACTTCTGTCATATTGCTAAATAGAATAGCCATAATTCAAAGGTAAGCAGTAGTCAGAAAGAAATCTGCTTTATATCTAAGTAGATATCCAATAAGAATTTTCCATTCTTATCACATGATTGGGTCTTTCTTAATTCAAAGAATTATAAAGACAAACAGTGACTATAAACTCACCCTTCTTAATAGCTTGAAAAAGTTAAAATCATACTTAGAACATTTAAGTAAAAAAAAAAAAAAGTGCTTTTCCTATTGCCTCAGTCACCACTTCCACAGCTAATCCCAAGAGTTTTCTGTGATTTCTTTTAAAAACAACTTATGCATATATCTGTCTACTAATCTCTTCATTCATTTATTTTTATTAAAAATTACATAAAGCTATATTACTATACACAATTTTTTATGCCTTGCCTTTTTCACTTATTATTATATCTTAGAAATTTTTCTTTTTTGTATATATAGGCCTATCTAATTCTTTTAAACAACAATGTATTCCACAACCAAGTTAAAGATTCTATTACTAAAAGACTTTGGTGTTTTCAATTTTTTTCTATCATAAACACTTCAGTGAGCATTCTCGTACATATATCATGGGAGCTGTTTTTAAGAATACTCATTGGATAAATTCCTAGGAGTAGAATTTCTGGGTGAAAGGATATCTGAACTTTAAATTTTTATAAATATTGAACATGGAAAATTTTCAATATGCAACAAGACAAAATAATCAATGAAATTACAATAGGAAAACAGATGGAATGCACAAATTAGCAAGGAAAAATGAAAAAGGCAATAACTACAGAAAATGAAACCCCAATTATAGATATCAAAAAGACAAATATATACTGTTAAAAATACCCACTGATATGCAGAATATAAATATACCTGAGCACACAGCAATATTAAATAACTCACAGCAAATGACTAGAAATGATTGAGGTAAAACAAAAAAAAGATACCGAAATCATACAAAAGAAGAGCCACATTTTATAATTGCCGGTTCTAAAGAAACCAAGAAAACTGAATAGAACAATCTAGGACATGCAAATACAAGGTAAAAAATTGCAATTCCTGTTTCAGGAAAAAAATTATAGGGAATAATCAAAACCGAAATGTATCTTGGTGAAGTAAAGAATAATCTATAAATCTATGCAGAAAAAATAAAAAAACAAGAATTAAGAGAAAGATTGTTCTCATATTTTTCATAAACAAAGATGATACATTTCCATAAAGACATACAATTTTCCTTTAAGTGAACACTTTTCAAAATTGACACATATTAGTTCCAATAAAAATATTAATATGAGTCAAATTGTTACATAGCAAATAATCCATGTTGTGATCATGAGACAAGAAATCAATAATAAAAATAGAAAAGAAACCAATACTTTTAAAAGTTGGGAAATAAAATTATTTTAAACTAAAACTGGGTCAAAGAGCAAGTATAATATGCCAAAAATCTGTAACTATAACATATATGTCAGAACCTATGGTATATGACTAATATAGTTTCCACAGGAAATTTTATAACATTAAAAACACTAAGAAACTACTTAAAATTTTAAAATGCTTTTTAAGGGAAAAAATGTATTTGAATGAAGAAGTTAAAGAAAAAAAACAGGACTAAACAAAAGCAAAACAGAAAAAGGCCATTAACAACAACAACAACAAAATCCAGAAAAATATGAACAAGAACAATAATAACATCAAACACATATACTGCCTATTCAGGTGTTCTTTCAAATGTGTAAATCAATTATTAAAATTTTTAATCTTTATTGATTACTGTATAAAGTAGACAACTATTATTATTTTCATTTTGTAAGTGAGAAAACCAAATCATGTAAGTGTTAAGTAACTTATGCAAGGTCATGCCGCAGTGGAACTGAGATTTGAAAACAGGCAGTTTGACTCCAAAGCCTTTACTCTTAATGACTATACTACTAGAACTAGTTGATAAATCAGAGTTTGTTCTTAGAAAAGGTAAAATATGAAAACGAGAAAGCATGAAATCGCACAATTGGTTATGAGAACAGAGAAATGAATTCAGGTACAGAGAAAATTCAAAGAAGTTAAATAAAATGCTTTGCTTAATTCTATGCAATTAAATTTAAAATTCTTAAAGAAGTTTTTGATTAGCTAGGGAAATATAAATTTAAAAAATTAGCTCCAGAAAAAATAGCTACTTGTGGAAGGCACTAAGAGAATAGCCAGAGTTATTCCAAAGAGACACTGATGAAGAATTTTTCTTTTTCTTTTCTTTTCTTTTTTTTTTTTTTTTTTGAGATAGTGTCTCACATTGTCCCCCAGGCTGGAGTGCAGTAGTGTCATCTTGGCTCACTGCAGCCTCGACCTCCCGTGTTCAAGTGGTTCTCCTGCCTCAGCCTCCCAACAAGCTGGAACTATAGGCATTTTTGTATTTTAAGTAGAGATGGGGTTTCACCATGTTGCCCAGGATGGTATTGAATTCCTGAGCTAAAGCAATCCACCCACCCTGGTCTCCCAGAAGGCTAGGATTACAGGTGTGAGCCACCACCCCCAGCCATGATGAAGAATATTTTATCAAATCTTATCAAATCTTTAATTAGTAAAAACACAAATACCCTGTAAACTGTTGCAAATTATAGAGAAGATAATCTTACAATTTTTTATAATGCCAGAATATTATTATTACCAAAACCTAACAAAGGTAGACTTTTATAACAGTCAAGATGGAGTAACTAGGAATGGATTTATCTTCCTTCATGAAACATCTAAAAAACTGAATACAGTATATGCCACAAGGTTAGATTCCTATATAGTTAAATAAATTAAATTTTCAAATAAAATCTTCCTACAACAGAGCATTAGATCAAAATGGCTCTATTGTTGATATTTACTGAACATTTCAGAATAAATAATATCAACTCTCTACAAAAGCTTTCAGACAAGAGACCACTTTTTTTTCTTTTTTTCTTTTTTTTTTTTTTTTTTGAGACAGAGTCTCGCCCTGTCGCCCAGGCTGGAGTGCAGTGGCGCGATCTCCGCTCACTGCAAACTCCGCCTGCGGGGTTTACACCATTCTCCTGCCTCAGCCTCCCAAGTAGCTGGGACTACAGGCGCCGGCCACCACGCCTGGCTAATTTTTTTGTACTTTCAGTAGAGATGGGGTTTCACCGTGTTAGCCAGGATGGTCTCCATCTCCTGACTTCATGATCTGCCCGCCTCGGCCTCCCAAAGTGCAAAAGAGACCACTCTTAAACTCATTTCATAGGGCCAGCATTACTCTGATACTAAAATATGACAAAGATATTACAAGAAAAACACAGATTAATGCTCCTTATGAACACAGATAAAAAATCCTCATCTAAATTATGACTTATAAAATCCAGCAATATATTAATAGGATGATATATCTTTACCAAGTGGGGTTTTTCTAAGAATGCATAGTGGAATTAATAATTAAATATCAACTTATGAATGTAATCGTATTAACTGGCTTTTTAAGAAACTATATGATAATCTCAATTTAGTAGAGAAATGTCTAAAAAATTAGACTCATTGATGATGAAATAATTAGCAAATGAAGACTAGAAGAAAACTTCCTGACTTGAAAGAACATCAACAAAAAACTAAAACTCACATTATATAAGTGAAAGTTTGAACATTTTTTTCCTAAAATTAGGAAGAAGACAAGGATATCCTCTTATCATTCATTTCCAACACTTTACTAAAATTCTGGCCAGTGTAATAAGGCAAAAAAAAATCACACAGATCAAGGCGTAGAAAGAATTAAAACTATCTCTATTCAAAGCAACATGAGCATCTACACAAAATCCCAAAAATCTCAAGGTCAATGTACAAACAAAATTTTATAGAAACTATTAGAATGAACTCATGGTTTTTGAAATGCATATTTTCTAGCTATGTCCACTGAAAAGGCTTAGAAACAATGACCAACCCCAAAGCAATGATTGATCATTCTTAGACAGCTTATTAAGGTCTCTAAATATAATTTCTTACAAACAAAAACAAAAACAGAACTCTTTGAAGAAATGGCTAATTCCAGCTCTGTGGCAAGAAATATACAAGATAAGCCTAAAACACATTTTCTTATAGCAAGCAAGGAAGCTATTGAAACCTACTCAAGCTAGATAAAAAAAAAAGAGTCTAACTTAAAACAGTTCCCTCAGATGGACAGCTGGTCAAAGACAGTCTTCAGATAGACAACTGAACATGAAAGAGTATCCTATCTACAATGGATCAACATACATCAATATACAGTGTTAACATTCATAAATTTCTAACAATACTTAAATGAGAAAGACATAATGCCCATCATTCATTTTTGGATTATGTGAAGAAATCAACTCATTACTCTGAAAAGTGACCCCAAAAATGGCAGAATTAAGAATGTATCATGCATTTTTAAAATTGTACTCATTAATCATGTAACTGATGAGGGCAATTTCAATGTAGAAAACTTCCATCTAATAAATTAAGAGGGATGACAGTTTCATGTAGTATCACCATGTCAAAAATCTGAATACAATAACTAATCTAGGATAGAGTCATCATTATGTGAATGACAATGAGTGTCTTACAATATATAAATCAGGGTTACAATAACCAAACTCACCATTTAATTTTAAAATAAAAAGTGAGAGATTATGAAATATTTGGGACCTACTGATATGACATAATAGGAAATGAAAAACATCACCTATAAAGTTTTCTTGCAAAACAAAAAACAAAAAACAAAACCACATTAAACTATGTCTTTAGCTCACACAGAGACAGAGGAGCATGTGAATAACTCCATGAAGAATGTGGAAAATCTATAGGGTAAATAACTCGGTTTACTATATTGATAGATAGTAAGAGGAAAATTGAGATTAAAAACTTATAGTTTAAAAAGTCTTAAAAGACAAAATGTAAATTAGTTGTTGCCAGGGGTGTGGGGAAGAACGGAGTTGAGAATGATTGCTAATGAGTATGAGGTTTCTTTTTATGGTGATGAAAATGTTCTAAAATTAGAGTGGTGATAATTTAACAACACTGTGAATATACTAAGAAACACTGAATTATACACTGTAAAAGGGTGAATTTTATAATATATAAAGTGTATCTCACTACAATTATTACTTAAGAAGAGACATAAAAGACATTACCAAGCAAATACAATGTGTGGACTTTGTTTAAATGTTGATTTGAAAAATCAATTATAATTAAAATTGGTCAGAGACTTGGGTTTATGTTTGGTTTATATAAAATTTTTCTACCATAGAATTATTTCTAAATCTTCCCTATGCTTTCTTCTCGAATTTTTATAATTTGCTTTTGTATAGAAATAATTGCTTTTTAAAATATATTGTTTTCCTTATTTCTAGAGACAATTAGGGAGATCTCAACAATAAAGAATAATCGATGATATGAAAGAATCATTAACTTTAGGAATGACAATAATACTATTTTTTAAGTCCTTATCTTTTAGGCATGCATGCTAATTATTTAATATTGAAATGCTATATCCCTGCAATGTTCCTCTATTATGACCGGAAGGGAGGTGTACGGATGAAAAGAAACTTTTCCACAGATTAATATTTCTTGAAGCTGAGTGGTGGGCACATAGAAATTTATTATATTAATTGCTGTCTTTTTTATATATGTTTCAAACTTGCCATTATAAAAAAGCAGGTAAAATATTATTGAGGTCCAGGAAAGAAGAGTATGATAAATTGAAATATACACCTTTTTCTTGGATAGGAATTTTCCATATTTAAAGGTGTCATTTCTCTCTAAATTAATCTAGAAAGTTGATATCATACTGATAAAAATATGAACAGAATAATTTTAACCTGACAAACTGATTTTAAAGTTCCTAATAAGAAATAGGCTGTAAGATTTGCCAGGAAAATTCTGAAAAACAAACAAGCAAGCAAAGAATCCTAAAGGAATGTGTATGAGGAAGAGAAACCAAAACTACTAGATGTGAAAATATATTCTAATGCTATTATTTTGGAATTGGCTCATGGATAGTCAGATCACTGAAACAGAAGAGACCATCAGAATTAGACTCAAACATAGATGTCTTGTTATATGATGAACATGGCATTTCAAATCAGTGGAGAAAAGATGGGTCATTTCCTTAGCAATGTTGGGAAATTAAGCAGTCATTTTAAAAATGAGGAAGAAAGAAAAAAAGAAATAATGCTAGATTTGTATTTTGTTCAACACATCCAAATCCTTATCTTAACCAACACAGAGATATACATTTTAAAAAGCAATGATTTTCATATAAAAGCAAATCATAAAAATTCTGGAAGAAAGCATAAGAAAAGTTTTAGAAAAAATCTTATGGTAGAAAAATTTTTTATAAACAACGTAAACCCAAGTCTCTGACCAAAATAAATTGGTAAATTGAAAGCTTTCATAAAGCTCTAAATTTAATAAAAAATAAAAGGGCAATTAAAATGTTCTATATGTTTCTTTCTATTAATTTATCAAAATATACACATAAAAACTATGAATTTCAATACTCAAAAAAATAAGTGAATAGTTGAAGACTTTTTTGTGACATACACAAGAGAAAGAAAGGCTCATTTGCTTATTTACTGTAAGGAAAAAAAGCAGGTAAAAATCCACTAACAACTCTTTTTAAAAATTTAATATTATTTTATTTTAAGTTCCAGGATACATGTGCAGGACATGCGGGTTTGTCACATAGGTAAATGCGTGCCGCAGTGATTTGCTGCACCTATCAACCCATCACATATTCAGCCCCACATGCACTAGCTATTTATCCTGATGCTCTCCCTCCCGTGCCCGCCCTGCCCATGTGTGTTGTTCCCCTCCCTGCGTTGTGTTCTCATTGTTCAGCTCCCACTTACAAGTGAGAACATGCAGTATTTGGTTTTCTGTTTCTATGTTAGTTTGCTGAGGACAATGGCTTCCAGTTCCATCCATGTCCCTGCAAAGGACAAGATCTCATTCTTTTTTATGGCTGTGTAGTATTCCATGGTGTATATGTACCACGTTTTCTTTATCTAGTCTATCACTGATGGGCATTTTGGTTGATTCCATGTCTTTGATATTGTGAATAGTGCTGCAATGAACATATGCATGCATGTATCTTTATAATAGATTGATTTATATTCCTTTGGATATATACCCAGTAATGGGATTGCTGAGCCAAATGATATTTCTGGTTCTAAATCTTTGAGGAATAGCCACACCATCTTCCACAATGGTGGAAATTATTTACATTCCCACCAACAGCGTAAAAGTGTTCCTGTTTCTCCATGACCTCACCAGCCTCTATTGTTTCTTGACTTTTTAATAATTGCCATTCTGCCTAGTGTGTGATGCTACCTCATTGTAGTTTTGATTTGCATTTCTCTAATGATCAGTGATGTGGCTCTTTTTTTCATATATTTGCTGACTGCATGAATGTCTTCTTTTGAGAAGTCTCTGTTCATGTCCCTTGCTCACTTTTTAATGGGGTTGCTTTTTTGTTTTTTCTTCTACATTTGTTTAAGTTTCTTGTCAATTCTGGATGTTAGACCTTTGTCAGCTGGATAGATTGCAAAAACTTTCCCCCACTCCGTAGGTTGTGTGTTCACACTGATAATAATTTCTTTTTTGTGCAGAAGCTCTTTAATTAGATCTCATTTGTCAATTTTTGCTTTTGTCACAATTGCTTTTGAAATCTTTGCCCATGCTTATGTCCTGAATGGTATTGCCTAGATTTTCTTCTAGGGTTTTATAATTTTGAGTTTTACATTTAAGTCTTTAATCCATCTTGAGTTAATTTTTGTATATGGTGTAAGGAAGAGGTCCAGTTTTAATTTTCTGCATGTGGCTAGCCAGTTTTCCCAGAATCACTTATTAAATAGGGAATCCTTTCCTCATTGCTTGTTTTTCAGGTTTGTCAAAGATCAAATGGTTGTAGATGTGCAGTCTAATTTCTGAGATCTCTATTCTGTTTCATTGCTCTATGTGTCTGTTTTTGTACTAATACCATGCTGTTTTGCTTACTATAGCCTTGTAGTATAGTTGAAGTCATGGTAGAGTGATGCCTCCAGCTTTGTTCTTTTTCCTTAGGATTGCCTTGGCTATATGGGCTCTTTTTCCTTTCCATATGAATGTTAAAGTAGGTTTTTCTAATTCTGTGAAGAATGTCAGTGGTAGTTTAATGGGAATAGCATTGGATGTTTAAATTACTTTGTGCAGTATGGCCATTTTCACAATATTGATTTTTTCTATCCATGAACATGAAATGTTTTTATATTTCTTTGTGTCCTCAGTGATTTCCTTGAGCAGTGGTTTGTAGTTCTCCTTGAAGACATCCTTCACATCCCTTGTTAGCTGTATTCCTAGGTATTTTATTCTCTTTGTAGCAATTGTGAATGGGAGTTCATTCATGATTTGGCTCTCTGTTTATCTATTGTTGGTGTATAGGAATGTTTGTGATTTTTGCACATTGATTTTGTATCCTGAAACTCATTTTTTAAAATGGCCAATGGCATAAGGAATAAGTTCATAGAAAAGTACAAATTTGTTATAAATTCAGGAAAATATACCTAATCTTAGTCATAAATAAAAGCAATATAAAACACAATAGGATTCTAATTTTTACACATTACATTGCCAAAAAAATTTCAATTAATGCACAGGATTTGTGGATATGCAGGAAAATAAATTCTTCAGTAATGTTGGTGAGACTGTAAGTGGATTCAAACTTGTTTGATAAAGTTTAATTAAATTATATACTGAACCCAAAAGAGAATATGAACAATAAAAAGTGAACCTATAGAGATGTAGGTTAAAAATCATGAAACTACCATATATATGTGTATATATATATGATTTAATATGTTTTGTATAATGTAAACTACTTCATATACTTCTATATAATCTGTTTGTATGTACAGACATACACACTGTATATATGAGGTAGTGTGTGTGTATATATAGTATGTGTATAGTATATAGTGTGTGTCTATAAATAGTATATGTGTATTTATATACAATCCTTGTGTGCATGTGTGTGTAAATTTAACAGTGAATATGTTGCATATATTGATAGGGATTTTTCTGTTTGAGAAATAGTTTACATATAAGTAAAAAGTGACATCTAATATGAACCTTGTGGAGTTTAATTGGATAGAAAGTGGCAGTGTGAACTCATGGTTTTTTAATATATATTCAGATAGATATAAGAAATCAAATAGGTATGTATATATAATATGTGAGTTGGTATATTTATATTTCTTTTTTCTGTCTACTGAAAGAACCTAGGAGCAATGATACTTCTAAAGCAATGACTATAGTTAGTACTTAAATCTAGGTTTCTAAGCACTATACTCTAATAAAGGAAACTAGAGCTTCTTGGAAAAATCAACAATCTTAGGGATGGGGCAGAAGAACTGATGAACCCGGAACATTTTATAGCACCAAAAGCAAGACAGAGATTGCACAAGAGATGGAGACATGTCAAAAAGATACAGAAGCCAAACTAAGAACCTCCCAATAGCCAAATTTGGAACAATGAGAAACAAAATAATTAACAGTAGCATTTAGTTATAACCCAGAGTATAAAATAAATATCCATGGGTCTATATAGATATGAATAAATAATTGAGCAAATAAATAAATGGAGAAGTAGCAGCCCTTTCTTACCAGAGAAGGAATGAAGCAAACACAAATTCATCATTGGGTAAACATGACTGTAATAATTATTCCAACCAAGATCCATCAGTGAATGAAAAATACAGTGAGTGAAAGTTGGCAGAGAAATAGAATATTCACAGAGTCCCAAAATATCTCCCTCAAGATATTTGTCTATTAAAAAAGGAAAATAGTAACTATACTTGAGAAACCTAGCAAACATCACTTTTGTCATGTAATAGAGGTTTACACCACTAGTGGTAATATATACATGGGAAAATCTTTTTCCTCTCGTTATGATTCAGTGAAAAAGAGACATTACTTCTGTCGTTTTCTTCCCAAAATATACTACCTCATTCTAATGAGGGGAAAACATCAGACAAACACAAATTGAAAGACAGTCTATAAAATAAGTGACCAGTACTCATGAAAGGTGTCACAAAAGGGAAAGATAAGGAAAGACTGAAAAACTGTCACAGATGAGAAAAAACTAAGGAGTCATAACAACTAAATGCAAGGTAGAATCCTACCTGGATTATGGAATATATATGTATATATATATATATATATATATATATATATATATATATACAAAAAACTGAAATTTGAACAGGTCTGTAGTTCAGCCAACAGTATCATCCCGATGTTAACTTCCTGGTTTTGATAATTGTACTATGATTTTGTAAATTATTAACATTGTGGAAATCTGGGTAAAGTTATGCATGAACTCAGTACTATATTTGCAAGTATTCTGTAAGTCTAAAATTATTTTAAAATAAAAAGGTTTTTAAAACTTACTATAGAAAAATTATGTAAGTTGATGTACTTCTAGAAGTTTATCTTTGAAATTCAATCAGAGAAAATTATGCCACTTCAACAATTAATCTCACACTTTTACTATAAAAACTTGCTATATGTAAAAAATGGTGTTTGTGTATGTGTGTGTGCACACGCACACGTACACTTAAGCGGGGTTCAAAGGCACTAATTAGAGACAGTATTGAAAATCTCATCTTGTTCTCCTAAAATTGAAAGAATTTTAATCTCAGTCACAGTTATTACATGCTTTTTTCTTTTTCTTTGTTATTTTCTTTCACCGGAGCTGCCAGTGTTTCATGCTTTTTTCTATCAAAGAGGAAAAACTGGGAAGAAAACTTGTGTTATGTCTTTTTAGAACAAAGAATTTTTTTAAGAAAGCAAAATGTTTGCTCAGAAATAAAAGAATGACCAAATAATTCCTTTTTAAAACACTTACTCTATACATATTCTCAAACATGCATGTAAACTTAAATCAACCAGGATTTCTCTAATGGAACACCCTGAAACTACAAAAGAGAATAAAGTACATAGATACATTTTATGGAAAAACATAAATCCGTTGTAAAATTTCAAATAAGCCAAAATAGTGTGTATTTTATGTTCCAACTTGTGCTTTATGTCAGCAGATATATGTGTTTTTAGGTGAGAATTTCTCACAGGATCTCCAAGAAAATTTTGATAGTGGCCACCCCTGGAAACTAGAGTTTAGGGGATGGAGTTAAAAAGTGGTACTTTAAATTTTATATACTTTTACATCATTACATTTTTATTATGAGGCTGTATTATTTTCACAATACAAATATTAAAAGGAAAATTATTTTGGTATTTGGAAATAAAATTGCCCAGTATGTACCATTGAATATAAATAGAACAATTGAAAGACACTTCAGAAAAATATTTAGCTGCTTAATGTGAGAACACTCATTTTTCACACTTAAAATTGCCCAAAGATGGAAATGATCATCACTCATCATATAGACACTGCTAATGAAGGTGTTCAGATATAGACTCACAACACAAGACAATCACTTACAAGAAACCTTGTGTAGAGAATACAAGCATTTGGAAGAGTAGTTGGACTGGCTGGTTTTTAGGATCCCTTCCCTTACATCCCTCAGATTGTAGTATCCTTTCTTAAACTACACAAAATGATGTCATGCTTCAATGATAATGTACATTTATATAGCAAAAAGAATTTTTTATCTTCTCTGAATTTTTTAAATACTTGAATGATAGAAAAACTATTATTATGGTTACTCAAATATTTAGATGTTTGAATATTTTAAATTGGCATATTCAGATGTCACAATCATTTTATCTCCCAAAGGAGGGAGTCAATTAGAACAACTTGAAAGTGAACAGTGAGTCACATTTATTTAATTCAGTCATGTCAATGTTCTTTTCTATGCAAATGAAAAAAATGTATATGCAACCTTCAAATTTAAATACAGGACTTAGTGGAAGGACAAGTAGAAGATTTAGGTTGTTGACATCAAAGAAGCTACCCACTATCTACCAGAAGAGCAAAGCACGCATAAGGTAAGTTTGGTCATCATAATTTACAGTGATTAACTTTTAGATCTCAGCTTAAAACAAAAGGTGTTGGACTCAAACTTCAATCAAATTTAGCAGAAATCTAAAATCTGGGTGGGAAATATTATTCATTTATTCATTTATTTATCTACTCAAAAACTATTTATGGAGCACCTACTATATTCCGGGCACTTTTCTACACACAGGAAGATAATGGAAAAACACAAGTTCCTACTATCATGCGGATTACATTCTAAAGAAAGAAGATATTTTAAAAGACAAATAAAACAATTTTACATAGAGTTAAGTGCTCTGAAGAAAATAGGGCAGTGAGTTAAAGAGTAATGGGCAGGAATTCCCCCTTGAAGGGTTGAATTGAGTTGAAAAGGAATTTATACAAAAATATTGACACTAAGTATTCCAAGTAGAGGGATCAGCTAGTGAAAAAGGTCCCAAAACTAATCAAAAATAACTCCCTTAACTTGTCCAAGGAACAAGAAGGCCACTGTGATTAAAATGTAGGTAGAGGAAAACAGATTGAGGAAGAAAAAAAATGAAACTCTCTGTTCAGTTCTTATCTGTGACTTGATTTCAATCATATTTGAGTAAAAATATTTTGTGGCTATTAAATCTTTCCTATGAATCTCTATGTTCTTTGAAAAGTATCAAGTTGGCATACTATGACTGTTTTATTAGTCTTTCAGTTTTCTTCCCCTTTCGTCACTCAGAACAGTGAGTTATAGATGATAGATAGATTAGATAGACAGACAGACAGACAGACAGACAGATAGATAGATAGATAGATAGATATGAATGATTGAAAGCAAAGAAAGTAGCTAAAAAGAAAAATCTGTTAAAGGATCTAGGAAACTTTGATAGAATTGTCAGGTCTGTTGGCAAGATGAACTGCTAGAGTAGGGTAACATTCTGCTTTGATCATTGTTCTCTTCTGGAAAGGATTTTTCCTATGAATTGTAATTTCTACGTGTTCAACAAAGCTTCAGAGGCATCCATCTAAATATTCATCTAGCTGAATATTTGAGAGATAGCTAGGAGTAGAATCAATGTGAGTGTAGCATTTGCCAACTTAAATCTCACCACTGAATAAACAGATGGAGAGAAAAATTATTAAACGGTATAAATGTCACCTTCACTTTTTTGATACAAGCAAAGAAATGTGTGCCGGCTTGGTTAGAAGATTTTTTCTGGACAGATGTATGCTCAGATCCAGCCTATTTATTAGAGAACACTCTCAGCTCTCATTTTCAATTTTAATCACTATGTCAATTTTGAAAGGGCAGTTCTCATTACATAAACATTTGGAAGTTATAAAGCTGAAAGGTCAGGGTATAGCCAAGACAAAAGATAACATGCCACCAGCTGGCATAAACTTCCATGAGCAAAATTTTCCTCCCAGCAAGCCTAACCCTCAGACACCAAGATCCTAGCACATATGAACCATTGTTAAACATTTTTCTGTTTCTCCAAATAAGTATTTTATTTGTGGGGACATAGTTATACATATTATTCTACTGGAACATTATGGAGGGTAGAATTCTTCAAAAAAACTTTATGACAATTAGTATCATAATTTGACAACCAAATAGCTTTAGATTAATAATCATAATTGCTACTGTTATTCAGCAATAACTGTACCAATTGTTCACTCTCTGTTATTTCAGTTAATCCTTACCACATCTTTGTGAGGTAGGTATTTTTATCACCAATATACAGAAATGGAAATTAGGATTTAGGGAATTTAAGCAATTTTCTGAATTATAATTCAACAGGTATGTGGCAGATATAACTTTTACCCAGATCTGTCTAACTTCAAAACATGGGATTAATCTCTATATTAGGCTATCTCCTTGAATAAGTGCAGCTTGAGTTGAAGGTTTCACTTTAGATACCCTAAAATTTGTTCTAGAGGATTCAGGAAATCCTAAAACACCTGGGAGAAAAGAAAGCATGAATCTTTGACATCACAGTATTTTTATCACCTTTATCTAAAAAAGTGCAATATAAACTGAAAGTTCTAAAAAGTACTGGTTGGACTATTAGTTAAATATAGGAGAATAAAGGTCTATTTTCTTATTCTTTTTCTTTGAAACTTATGAAAAATTATGTATATGTGTAATTATATATATAATTATATACTCTATATATCAGGTATATAAAATATATAGGCAAAGATGAAATTTGACCTATTTATTTCTCAGACTTTTCTTTTTTTTTTTTTTTTGAGATGGAGTCTCACTCTGTCACCCAGGCTGGAGCAGTACAGTGGCGCAATCTCTTCTCACTGCAACCTCTGCCTCCCAGATTCAAGTGATTCTCCTGCCTCAGCATCCAGAGTAGCTGGGATCATAGGCACACGCCACCACGCCCAGCTAATTTTTTTTTTTTTTTTTTTTAGTAGAGACAAGGTTTCACCATGTTGGTCAGGCTGGTCTCGAACTCCTGACCTGATGATCCACCTGGCTCGGCCTCCCAAAGTTCTGGGATTATAGGCATGAGCCACCATGCCCGGCCGACTTTTCTTAAAATTAAGAAGCATTGTCTTAAATGGCCTATATGAATATCCTTTGATTGTAGAGACAAGAACTAGGAGTATATCTATATCACATAGATATGGATAAGACCCTGAGAGAATGGATAAGACCCTGGTAAAACCTTGTCTGAGATCACAAAATACAAATGAACGTGGAGCTGAAGGGGAAACTGAGCTGGTCACAAAGTTGTAAGTTCATTGTCTTAGAGGATCAAGGAAGAAAAGTACAAAGTGATAGTAACCCAGAAAGCTGTGACCAAAAAACTGTCTTCAATAAACCTCTTACATTAACAACAATAACAAGGACAGGAAAGTTGCCCCCAGGACAAAGGAAAATAAACTTATTGAGGATACTTGCAACAGCAATTCCAAGAAGATGCTGACTGGCTCATTTTACTATTTCTATTTCTCCCCAAGTGATTCTTCAACAAATAGCTTCATTGAAAATAATAATAACAATCCAATTAGTATGAAACTCTTTAGGCAGGCAAGAGGGTAAATAAAGAAGAATCAGAACATGAGGAAAATACAGATGACAGATGCAAGAGTAAATACACAAGGAAACAGAAAAAGAAACTATAAGAATAGTTCTTTATAGATGTTGTATTTTTAAAAATAAAGAAAAACTACATTTTTTTTTCAAAGATGAAATTACTCAAAATCAAGAGGTGAGTTTGAACCAACAAACCTTTAAGACAAATTGTAGGAGGAAAACAAATACATTAAGAGAAGAAAAACACATTAAGCACAACAACCACAAAATACAACCACATGTGTTTACAAATATAGGGAGTGATAGATAAGATAGAGAAAATCACATAAAATGACATTTAAAGAGCTCTTACAGAGATCCTACTTCTGGTGATAATGGAAGGCCTTGTATTGAATTAACTCTTTCCATGTAAAACAGTTATAACAAAATATTTATAAACAACAACAACAACATTTTGAGATACTAGAGTGAATACAAATAGGCAGAAGCTGGAAGAAAGTGGAATCTTAAAAGAAAAAAAGAACTGCACTGCTATATATACATTTAACACAGCTTTTTAACTGAGGGCATTTCCCAGTTCTAATAACATAAGAATCTAAAACCTAAACAAAAAGTCATAGTCTTGAAGAATCAGAGGACCAAGCTCCACAAAGTTTCAGAAAAGAAAATATAAAAATTAGTCTATAAATTCTGATTAAATCTTTGGTTAACTCAAAGTTGCAAATAAATGGACTGACTCCAAGGACAGCAGAAGGAAACACTGCTGGAAAGTTTAAAGAACCAAGTAGAAATTTAATTGCTTCTGGGAAGGAGAGGCAAAGCTGAAAGTCTGAGTCAAGCCCAGTTAACTACCTGCTAGAACTAAAACAGTACTCTTCAGAGGAAGATAACAAAATCTAGAGTCTCTACAATATATTACCTAAAATGTCTAGTATAATATAAAACATTATGAAACCTTAAAAAAAAAAACAGAAAAGTGTTCACATAATAAAGAGAAAAATCAGCCAATAGAAACCAAACCTTAGATGACCCAGATGTCAGAACTAGTATACAGGAATTTAAAATAATTACTGCAAATATTGACTAAGACCAAGTAAAACAAAGTCACAATAAATTAATGGGTGGACTACCTCAACAGAGAAATAGAGAATATTTTCTAAAAAGCAAGTCAAAATTTGTAATCTAAATAAAATATCTGAAATTATAAATTCACTGGTTAGGCTTAAGAGCAGCTTGGGAATAGCCCCAGTAAAATTAATGGTAGATCAATAGAAAATATTCAATCTGAAAAATAGAAGGACTGGGAAAAGCATGTCTCAATGACCTTCAAGACAATATCAGGAAATCAATTATAAATGTAACATAGCCTGAGAAGATGAAAGAGTGGATCAGGAAAAATTATTTTTAAATACTAGCAATTTTCAAAAATATATGGTAAAAAACATAAACTTACAGATGTAGAAAGCTGAATGAAACCAAGCAATCTAATAAAAAATACAGAAAAAGAAAAAAATACTTAAAGTAACCAGAGAAAAACAACAAATTACCTACAGAAAAGCAATAATAGAAGTGATAGCAGACTTCTCATCAGGAATAACAGAGGCCAGAAGACAATAAAATAAAATCTTTAAAGTACTGAAATAATTTGATGTTCATTTCTATTTTTTTTCAAAAAATGAAAACATAATATAGACATTATATAAAAATGAAAACTTGGAGAATTTTAGCAAGATATGCTGAAAGTTCTTTCAGCTGAAGGCATGTGATACCAAATGAAAACTCAGAATTACAGAAATAAATAATGAACACTGGGACTGATTATTACATGTATTTTTCTTTCACCAATTAAAAAAAATATGACTAATGCCAAAATTACAACATTATATTTCATGGGTTATAATGTATACTTATGTTAAGATATTTGACAATAACACAAAGGATAGGATGGTAAATGGAGCTATACTATTGCAAAGTTTCATGCTTTATGTTATGTGGTAAATTAATGATTTATAATGTGAGTTCCTACATCAACTACTAAAAATGTACTGCAAAAATTACACTAAAAAGGCAATAAAGAAATTGAAATGCAATATTAAAAAGTGTCCGATTACCCTTAAAGAAGGCAAAGTAGACAGAACAAAAAACTGAAAGAACAAATAAAAAGAAAATAGCAAAACGGTAGACTTAATTTCAACTAAATGGACTGATTACACTATATGTAAAATGGCTGAACATTCCATTTAAATGTCAGAGATTGTCAGCCTGGATAAAAAGTAAGATGCAACTATAAGTTTTCCATAAATGATGCACCTTAAGAGATAAATAGGTACAAATAAATATGAAAATGCATACCATGAAGACAATGGGCATTACAAAATTGGCATGCCTATATTACTATAAAAACTGACTTTACAGAATTTTGTTAGAGATAAAGAGAACATATTTTATGGTAGAATAGTCAAATCATCAAGAGGACATAAAATTCACAGATATATGTGCACCTAATAACAGAACTTCACAATACTTGGGAGAAAAACAGAACTAAAGGGAGAAATACTTGAGCACAGCTTCATAGTAACTCTAACACCAATCTGTCAGCAATTGATAGAACAAGTAGTGAAAAACTCAAAAAGCCTAGAGAATATTTGAATACTACTATCAAACACCTTACTTTACTTGATATTAATAAGCATTTAACCCAACAAGTGGAGTATATTTGCTCTCTTTTAGTGCACAGGAGATGGTCACTAAGATAGACCATACGCTGACTAAAGATAAAAATTTCAATAAATATCAAAAAACCTAAAATATTTTAGAGTAATTGTTATTAACACAGTAAAATTAAATAAGAGCTTACTAACAATGATTCCTAGAGAAGCACAGATAGAAACAACACATTTCTAAGTTGCCCCTGGGTAAAAAAAGAAATAGCAAAAAAATTAGAAAGTTAGAAAATATTTTAATTAGAAAATTTCACAATTTGTTGGCTGCAGCTAAAGTCATGAAAATGTATTACTTTAAATGCTTAGATTTAAAAGGAAGAAAGGTCTAAATCAATGACCTAATATTTCACCTTAAGAAGCTGGAAAAAGGACAGCAAATCAAACTAAAAAAGTAGTAAAAAGAAGGAAAAATAAAATCAGAAAAGCGGAAATCAATGAAATAGGGGAAATAACTATGGTAGGGAAAAATCAACAAATTTATTAAGTAATTCTTAGAAAAGATTAATTAAATTGATAAAATGCTAACAGGAGTGCCCAAAAAGAAAAGGGAAAACACAAATTACCAATAACAGTGATGAAAGAATATACAACAGTGAAATCCTAGGTATAACTTAAAAAGAAGAGACTATAATAAAACTACTTTATGCCAATAAGTTTGACAGTATAGTTAAAATAAACAAATTCCTGAGAAAAGCAAAGGATCAATTTTGACCCAAAAAGAAATTGATAATATTAATAATCTTAAATGTATTAAAGAAATTGAATTCATTGTTTAAAATGTTTTCATTGAAAGTACTTAATTCAGATTGTTCTGCAGTAGATTATCCCAAAATTTTAAGAAAAAAGATTTATTTCAAATTTCAAATTATTTCAGAAATTAGAAAAAAGACACATTATTTTATGAGTCCAAGATAATTTTTATACTTAACTGAAAAGGATGTAAATAGAAAAAAAACACAGACAATCTTTTTCATAATGACAATTGTGAAAATTCTAAATACAATATTTCTGTGAGTAACTTCAAAAATCTTCTTGACTTATCTTAATTACATGGTTTATACAAAATATGACCATTACCGGCCAAAAGGAATAAAATAGTAAAATGTGTTTTAAAAAATAATAAATGTCTAAGCAAACTGCATAGGTTTTGATGTCAGAATGATGTTACACACACATGTGTGCACACACACATCGTTTAATAATACAGAGTCTATTCAGCTATCTTGCTATATGCTGCTTTTCTTAGTTCTGGAGATCCATAGGAAACAGCAACATCTCACAAAATTGCATAATATGACTTACAAGAAAAAAATGGCTTATCAAAAGTTGTTCTTGATATGTTGTTTACCCAGCAAAGAAAATATAAATAAGGAAGAATTACATGAACTCTGAAAGTTGCTACAAACCACAAAATATAATGGTGGGACAGGCATAGGACAGACAACTTTCATTCCAAAAGGGAGAAACAGGAAAGAATAAAGCAGTAACTGGTCCAAAGCAAGTTCAAAACTCAACAGGGCAAACAATACTAAGTCCTAAAGCTTGAGCATAATATTTGACTTCATGACCTGTCTTACAGCACACTTGGACAGGAGTTGGCCTCAGGCAGCCTTGTTCCTATGCTTTGTGGGGCTTACTCCATGCAGCAGCTCCTATAGGTTGGAGTCCCATCCCTGCAGCTCTTCCAGCCTGGTATTGTATGCTGGTAGCTGTACAGTTCTAGTATCTTGAAGATGGCCCTGTCCCCATGGCTCCACCAGCAATTGCCCTAGTGGGGACTCTCTGCAATAGCTCTGCTCCTATGACAAGTCTGTTAGGGCTGCCAGTCTATCTATGACATCCTTTGAAATCTAGGTGAAGAAAGTCATGTCCCACCAGCTCTTGGATTTGACATGCTTGCAGAGTTAGCACCACATAGACTGCCAAGGTTTATGGCTTGTACCTTTTGGAGTTTGGGTTGAGTCAAATTCAGGGCCTGCTTGAGCCATGGCTGAGGCAGCTGAGAAGGGTTGCCCTGGAATGCAGGAAGTTGAGACTTGAGGCAGCCCTGGGCAGTGAGCCCCAAGGTCCTGAGGGTATTCTAGGCCTCCCTCTTGACATATTTCTCTCCCCCAGGCCTCAGCACGCTCTGCCTGTGACGGGAGAAATCTCCGAAGTACCTTTAGGATCATTCTTCCATTGTCTTGATCCATAGCTCCTCACTTCATTCTATCCATGCTAATCTTCTTGTCAAATGGTTGTTTGGCCACATCCTTGGTTTCCTCTCCCGAAAATTCTCTTTCACTCTATACCACAGTGCTAGGATGAGAATTCTTCCAATCCCTACACTCTGTTTTCTTTTTAATTATAAATTCTGTCTTTAAATCCTGTCTTCTCTCATTTTCCTACATGCAATTAAAAGAAGCCATACAGCACCCTAAATGCTTTGCTGCTTAGATATTTCCTCTGCCAGAGAGCCTAGTGCACTGCTTTGAAATTCCACCTTTCATAAAGTCCTAGGGGACTGATAACAGTTCAGCCAAGTTCTTTGACACTGTAACAAGAATGGCCTTTCCTCCAATTTCCAAAACCTTGTTCCTCATTTTCGTCTGAGATCTCATCAGAATGGCCTTTATTGCCCATCTTTCCACCAATATTTGGATTACAACCGCTTAAGTAATCTCGAAGAAGTTTCAGACTTTCGCCACAGCTCTCCTCTTCTGAGCTCTCATCAGAATCACTCTGCATGCTCCATTCATAGTAATATAGGCTTTTTTCTCACCTGCTCTTCCAAATTCTTCTAGCCGCTACTCATCACCCAGTTCCACAGCTGCTTCCACATTGTCAGGTGTTTGTGACAGCAACACCTCAATTCTCTAGTACAAATTTCCTGCCTTAGTCTACTCATGCTGCTATAACAGAATACCTGAGACAGGATAATTTATAAGGAACAGAAATTTATTTATTATAATACAATTCTGGAGGCGGGGCAGTCCAGGATCAAGTTTCCAGCATCTTGCAAGGCCCTTCTTGCTGCATCATCCCATAGCAAAGAGCAGGAAGAAGGGCCAAGAAGGCACACCAGAGAGCCAGAGAGCAAGAGAAGGCCAAGCTCTCCCTTTTATAACAACATTGATCCCACCCATGAGGGTAGAGCCCTCATGGCCTAATCACCTCTCAAAGGTCCCACCTCTTACTACTGTTATAATGACAAATTTTAACAGAAGTTTTGGAGGAAACAACATTCAAACCATAGCAGTTTATGTTTATTTTCTATTCCTGTGTAACCAATATCATAAGCTTAGGGGTATAAGACCACACTGATTTAACATCTCTCAGTTTCTGTAGATCAAAGGTTGGGGGAACATCATGACTGGTTTATCTTCTTAAGGTCTCACGGGGCTGAAATCTAGGTGTCAGCTGGGTCTAGGATTCTCATCTGCGGCTCAGGACCCTCTTTAAAGCACTATTGGAAGAATTATTTTTTGTCATAGAACTGAGGCTCCTGCTTTCCTGCTGGATATTGGCTTCCGACCACCCTTAACACCCAGAAGCTGCCCATGGTTTCTTGCCACGTGGCCCTTCCATCTGCAAAGCCAGCAACAGTGGGTCTGTCTCACATCAAATCTCTCTCATGCTTCAAATCTCTGACTTCTTCTGTGTCTGGCCTCTATAGCCAGATTTAAAGGGGTCAAGAGATTGGGTCAGGCTCACCCAGATAATCTATCTTTTTTAAAATTATGCCATAGAACATTATCTAATTACAAAAATAAAAAAAAAACTATGAGATTCACAGTCCTAGGGATAATGTATCAAAGTGTACATCAGAAAGTGGAAATCTTGGAGGACATTTTAGAATTTTGTCTATTACAGGGTTGTTTTAAGGATTAAATAATATAACATAGAAAAACATATATCTGAATACCTAGTCCTTAATAGGGACCTAATAAGTATCATTTATTTTGAATATGATATTTGGAGGGAGGGAAGACAGTTGACCTACCAACTAGGCATTGTCATTTCTATAGATTAAAGATATTAAAATATCAACAATTTTATACGGTTGTATTATACCATGTTTGCTCAATGTAGTATTTTATAAAACTGAAGAAACACCTCTATATTGAATTTTTAGTCAGTAAATCATTCATTTTCTTCATTCATTCATTCATTTTCCCACAAGTTGGAGCTAATACTTAATACCTAGTATGAAATAGCCAATAAGTGGGGCAATTTAGAGCATACATAAAAGAGAAAGACATCATCCCTAACCCTCAAAACTTTAGGATCTAATGGAATTTGAGTCTTCCTAGATTTTAACAGTGTAGTTGATATTAAACAAAGCTGCTTCTAACAGAGCTAAAAGAAGCAACACATATAGCAATTTCATGTGTCTAACCTCACATTGTTTATAATTCTATGACAAAAACAAATGGAGAAGATAAATTTAGAAGAAACTGTACTACACAGGCTTAGTGACAAATGGAGTTTACAGTCTTGGCAAGCAGCCTCCAAGGTTTTTCAGCGTTAGCTGGCATCCTACTTTGGAAATACCTTTCTTAGTTTCTCAGCAACAGTTCAGATATGACAAACAATTCTAGTGTCTCCTTTTTTGGCTTCAAATAAAATAGCATAAGCATATTTAAACATCCATCTTCTTCTGGCTTCTAAACTCTTTTTTCACATGAGCACTTAATTGATGGCTTTGTGCACCTTACTTGTGTCCCCCAAGGAGAGTATTCCAAACATCCCTGGACATGTAAAAGCTTCTTTTGTAAAGTGACGCAGAATTCCATACTTCTTCAATTTGTTTTTTATTATTTCATTGGTCAGAATGTGGGCAGCTTCTGCTGCAGATACAGTCTCCAGTAACTGCCCTTCTAATGGTGACTTGGCTGAGTTATGCTGTGATACAAAGACAGTTTCCAAATCTCTGCCAATCTTCCTTGTGTTTATATAATTGCAATAATAAAACATACCACAGAATTTATCTTAGACACACTCTAGTCTAATCCCCATCATATTTTTAATTCTTATTGCAATATCCTTAACAATAACACCCACTCTCTTCTTGAATACTGGGATCAAAATGGAGTTCTTTAGCAAAGAACATTGCTCCTGCTTTTAATCCTTAATTTCCAAGTTGGAAAAGTTATTGCTGAATTTCTGGTCTTTTGTGTTGGTTGTGGATGGGCAAGTAGAGATTTCTCCACTCTCCCAAGATATAAACAGATTAAAACTCCTGATTTCATTAGTCAAGGACACAAATAATTAATAGGAGCAAGTTAGAAACAGATATAACTTCTCTTGATGTGAATTTTCCTAGGCCTGTAGTTCCCTAAAAAGGCAGAAGCTAACACATTTCCAGAATAGGATAATGTCTGATATGAGAAAATAATCTAATTTGTGGTATGACAAGCCTTTCGTATTTGGGGTTTATCAACTGCTATAAGCAGAATTAGGAGTCCTCAGCCCCAAATATGTCCATGTCCTCATCCCCAGAACCTGTGACTATGTTAAGTATCCTGGCAAAGGAGCATTAGGGTTACAGTATCGGGGAACCTGCCCCAGTATTCATGTAGGTTCTTTTCTATTTTCCTTAAGTGTCGGCCAGCTTGAGAAATAAAGGGACAGAGTACAAAAGAGAGCAATTTTAAAGCTGGGCATCCAGGGGAGACATCACATGTTGGCAGGTTCCGTGATGCCCCACAAGCCGCAAAAACCAGCAAGTTTTTATTAGGGATTTTCAAAAGGGAGGGAGTGTGCGAATAGGTGTGGGTCACAGACATTAAGTACTTTACAAGGTAACAGAATATCACAAGGCAAGTGGAGGCAGGGCGAGGTCACAGGACCACAGGACCGAGGCAAAATTAAAATTGCTAATGAAGTTTCGGGCACCATTGTCATTGATAACATCTTATCAGGAGACAGGGTTTTGAGATCAACCGGTCTGACCAAAATTTATTAGGCAGGAATTTCCTCTTCCTAATAAGCCTGCGAGCTCTATGGGAGACTGAAGTCTATTTCATCTCTGCAGTCTCGACCATAAGAAACGGCCACGCCCAGGGGGCTGTTTATAAGCCTATACCTCCAGGTGCACATTCTCCTTCTCAGGGATGTTCCTTGCTGAGAAAAAGAATTCAGCAATGTTTCTCCCATTTGCTTTTGAAAGAAGAGAAATATGGCTCTGTTCTGCCCGGCTCACTGGCAGTCAGAGTTTAAGGTTATCTCTCTTATTCCCTGAACAATTGCTGTTATCCTGTTCTTTTTTCAAGGTGCTCAGTTTTCATATTGCTCAAACACACATGCTGTACAATTTGTGCAGTTAATGCAATTATTATAGGGTCCTGAGGCAACATACATCCTCCTCAGCTGACAGGATTAAGAGATTAAAGTAAAGACAGGCATAGGAAATCACAAGGGTATTGATTGGGGAAGTGGTAAGTGTCCATGAAATCTTTACAATTTATGTTTAGAGATTGCAGTAAAGACAGGCATAAGAAATTATAAAAGCATTAATTTGGGGAACTAATAAATGTCCATAAAATCTTCACAATCCACATTCTTCTGCCATGGCTTCAGCTGGTCCCTCCGTTTGGGGTCCCTGACTTCCCACAACATCTCTCCCTTTCTTTTTATATAAATGTGCCATGGCGATGAAGGCTTGTTCGTTCTCCCGATTTTGATGCAGGATTCTTTGACTGGTCTGGCACACTAAAAACAAGCCGATTAAACAGAGAAACATAATTCCAAAATGTACTACAGTGGAGCCCCCAGTAGACTTAATCCAAGTCATGGGGTTTAATCCATAAAGATTTTCTGCCATCTGATCTAACGCCTCAGCTCCAGGCACAATGGATAAGTGAGCTTGAGAGGCTTCAAAAATTTGTTTCTTTAATTTAGTTATGTCCAATGATAAATTATCTTCTCTACCCAGAAGATGTCCTTTGACCATTTCCCATGAATGATCAGTCTCATTATAGGAATATGGGGTGATGTAGAAATCTGAAGTATTCCAATCGCACTGCATTTGCATGAGATGCTCGAGACTCACTACCCGATCTCCAACCCAAATAACAGACTGTCTTAAATCATTAATTTGATTTGCCAATTTTTGATCGATGCCTTGTTGAGAATTCCACATTTGGGTGGAAATGGCTTGCCAATCATTAACAAAATGAGCTGTTTGAATGGATTGGTGTAATGCCATTCCGGCAGTGGTGGCCATTGCAGTGACTGTAATTAGGCCCATGATAACAGTGACTAAAGTGAAAACAAATCTCTTAGATCTTTTTAGAATTCGCTGTAGCACTTCCTTATTGAGGGGGAGGATTCCCAAGGTCTAGGTAAAGTTACCGGAATCCAGATTCCTTCTCGAGCTCGAACATTACATTTTTCCTGGAGTCAAAATGGGAGTTAATACAAGTGCATAGATGACAATTAATGCATTGGACAGTTTGATTATGTGTCCAAATTTTGATATTTCCTACTAACGGCATGTAAGGAGGCTTAACACAGCTCTGTATGGGAATAGTCAGGTTGGAGGTAAGTAAAGCAGAATGTCTGGGTCTACATTGATACTGAGTGGGATGGTAGTGGGAACAACAGTCAGAATAGTTTTCCCTTCCCACACTCACAGTCCAGACATGGCAATAGCCAATTTCCAAAGTTCTGGGTGTTCTGGGCTCAGAATGGGGAGTATCATATGAGGCCTGGGGTTGGGGGGTGTAATGCCTTTATCTACCCATTTTAAGGGAAAGAATGAGCTGATCCTCCTATGCAAAGTAGAATGATGATTCTCGTTCTCTTGATAAGAAATAAAATAAGTAGCCTCCAGGCATTCCCTTCCACCAGAGGAGCAATTGTTTTTTAAATAGCCCTTTGGTGCCCAGTCTATTACTAAACCATATGAGTCATTTTTTAATATTACTGCATGTGAGTTAACACAATCTTCCCAAATTAAAGTTTTAGATGGGCCCTCAAAATTTTTAGGGCACGGTTTTCCTGCAGGTTTATATGGAAAGTATGGGTATCTCCCATTACTCCTCCTTTCATTTGTTTTAAAGGAGAAAGGGAGAGGCCAGAGACCAAATGTCTCATTTTATCTGTAGCTGAACTTTCAGGAAGATAAGCAGCCCAGACTTGAGTTTCTAGATGTATACAACCAGGTGCATGTCCAAGGCACAGAGGGTGGTATTTATAACCCATAGTAACATTAAATGCAGTGTCTTATTCTCCTGGTTGGGCAGGGCAACAGTTATCTGTGGCTCCAGGCATCCACACACTATTGTTAGTGTAGATTTCTGCAGAAGCATCTATCCAGGTGAGAGGTTGAATAAGTGGAGGAAAAGGCACATAAGCCCAATAAGAATATTTATGTGTAGCAGGTAAATCAGTGTGAGAGGAAACTGGTGAGACAGAAAGTATAAGGAGGAGAATCATTAAATAAAACTTATTGTAAGTGAGATTCTGAAGAAGGAAGAGAAGAACAGTGTTAAGTATCCTGGCAAAGGAGCATTAGGGTTACAGATAGAATTGAAGTTGCTCGTCAGCTGATTGAAGATAAGGAGATTGGCCTGGATTATCCAGGTAGGCTCAATGTAATCAGGAAGGGCCTTTAAAGTGAGAGAGGGAGGCAGAAGAGGAAGTCAGAGCGATGTGCTGTGAAATCTACTACCGTTTGCTGGTTTTGAAAATGGAGAAAAAGAGTGAGGAACTGAGAAACATGGATGGCCTTGGGAACGTGGAAAAGGTAAGGAAACACTCTTTCCCCCAGAGTCTTGTAAGAGGAATGCACTCCTGAAACGTCTTGGTTTTAGTACAGTGACATGGTTTTAACCCATACTGGACTTCAGAACTATAAGTTAATAAATTTTTGTTATTTTAAGCCACCAAGGTTGTGGTTACCTATTATAGCAGCAAATAAAAAAACTAATCAACCTTCTGACTTGGGTTGGTTTTAGGCTCTGAAATGAGGATTCATGTGAAAGTGTTTTAGTAGGAAGTGTTCCCAGGAAAAATTGTTTAGGGAAGCAGGAAAATGGGATCAGGAAGGAAAAGATGCCAGGAATGGGTGTCAAGTCATGCTATGTTTCATGCAGGACTTGGATTCAATCCTATATGAAGCAACAATAATATATTTTACACTTAAAAATTTGATAAGAGGGTGGATCTCATGTTAAATGTTCTTACCACAATAAAATTTTAAAGAAAATCTTTTTAATCCCATAGGGGAACTCTGGAGAAAATGTGGGTTATTTGTCAGTTCTCCGAAGTCAAGTGGCAAGAGAGTTGAGTTATTCATCTCTGACCAGACATTGCTTATACACCACCCATAGTGGTGAGGTAGAGGAGTAAATTCCTAGGCAATTTTAGATCTCCATGCACGTAGAAAAATGGAATCTGAATGTTTGAAAGCATCCGTCTACCAAGAGACACAGGTGTTGGCTGTTAGGAATGAAAGCTGACTGGGAGCTTACACATATGACAACGGCAAAGAAACCCAATTAGAGATGGGTAGAGTACTAACAGTGTCTGCAACAGTTTCCTAATCTATGCACTTTTACTTAAATGAATGTTAACAGATTGCATTTTTTTATTGATTTTGTATCAAAGTCAGCATCTGCAATGCCACATACCATCCAGGGAAAGAAAGACTCAGTGCCCAAATGTTTCTGAAAAGTATCTTCACCTTCTCAGAGATCTGCACAATTCAAATAATCCACTTGTCAATAAGGAGTTTGAGTATTGCTGTGTTCCAGGAATAGTCTCTGAGAATCTAGTAAGATACTTCTCAGGTTTCAGTAGAAGTTGTGATAAGATTACAAAAATATAAAAAGTAATAAATTATCGTATTGAATGAAAACAATCCAATCTTTTGTCTGTCATTGCTCTGAAAGCATGACATTATGTAACTTCAGTGTTTAAGAATACCCTGACTATGCCCAGCTTCTCCTTATTAACTTTGTGAATGGATCCATCACATCAGAATCAGCTGCATCACTTTTCTAAGTCACCAGTTGTCTTCAATGGACATCATCTTTAAGATTATGTTCAAAACTGATTGTTTTCCCTTATAAATCTGCCTCTTTTCCCAACTTCTCTTCCTTTGTTAGTGGCATTACTATTATTCTGGCCTCTCAAGTTAAATTTATTAAACTTTTTCTTCTTGGTCCTTTTCCCATTTGCCCTGAAAATACTCACTGGTGGTGCTTGTGGCTGCAGCGTTTAACCTGTGATAATTTTGCCATGAAATATCTCGCTTTTATTATTTTTACATTGCTCTAGTATATCAACTTTGGAAACAAAAGACATCATTCTATTTATAGCATTGTGTTTTTAGTAGTGGTATTTCCATTTACAAAATATAGTAATTCTCAATCGCTGTTAAAATTTGAAGAAATTAGTACCTTCATACACTGCTGGTGGGAATATAAAATAGGGCAACCACCTTGGATAACAGTCCGACAAATCCTCAAGTGGGTTAAACATAGGTTACCATATGACCCAGTTATTCTACTCCTAAGTATATATCCAACAATAAAAACATAACTTGTTTCAAACATCTATAGCAGCCATATAGTTGAAACAATGTCTATCAACCGATAAAGTGGAGGAAATCACTGTGGAATATTATTTAGCCATAAAAAATAATAAAGTACTAATATATGCTATAACATGGATGAATCTTAAAAACATTATGCTAAGTAAAAGAAGCCATTCACTAAAGAACATGAATTATATGATTCAGTTTATATAAAATGTCAAGAATAGGAAAACCTATAGAGACAGAAAGTAGATTAGTAGTTGCTTAGGGCTTGGGTTCGGGGGCTGGAAGGATAACTAAGAGTTACAAGATTTCTTTTGGAAGTGTGTGATGTTAACATCGTTCCCAAACAGCTGTTGGCAGAAGATTCATTTCATGAATCTGATTTTTCCAAAACAGACAATTCTGATGATTGAGATGATTTTGATGTTAGTTCTGTTTAGAAATAACTCCAAGATCAGTTTTTATATTTTATTTTCACATTGAAAAGCTATCACCTTTGTTTCAGCCTCAAAGAGTGTGTTTATGTAAAATTAAATGAGCACTAGCAGTGAGCTGCACTCTTTTTTTTTTCTAAAGGGGAAAAGGGTTAAACCTGGTTTCAAGTTTGTCATTAAGTCTTAAGATATTGCTGCTACTTGTTTTCTCCCTGTGACCGCAACTTCTGACAGTCTAAACTCACTTTTTGTTTATATTGCTGGCCACCTAATATAGTGAGTCCAGTAAGTCTATCAGAAGAACCAAAAATATCATTTTTCTTGTCACTTCCTTGGTCAAAAATCTGCAATGAATCACTTTTTACAGCACCAGGAAATATGACCAAAATATTAACGTTTTATGCATGAGGGATCAAAGCCCTGGTCTCCTTCTTACTACTGAATATTATTCTGTTTGACTTCACCCTGTTGGTTTCCTCTATACCCTTTTCACAATTTGAAATTACATTATTTGTTTGTTTACTGATTATTTTTTATTTATTTTCTATTTCTATTTGGCTACATCTAAACTGTAAACTCTCCAAGGGTAAGAGATAGACATTTTTGTTTAACACCATACATCTTGTACCCTCTACAG